>NC_000006.12:19908484-20060000 GCF_000001405.40 Homo sapiens | reverse complement strand
TAAAATTCACTCTACAACATGCATTATTTTTTGTTTTATTGTTTGCTTTTACCACTGTTAAAAGTAGACAATATGAAAACAATTATTCTGCAGAGCGTTACACATTTCTAACAGCCTTCCTGAAATGTTTGGTCTGAAGCTGCCTCTATGGTTGTGAGAAATATGTGTAGTACATTTTTTTCTCCTTTCTTGATAGAGATTTCCATTTTATTGCTGAGAATGGGTTAGAAGTTATTCACAGACCCACTCAGGAAAATGGAAGTTACTCTCATAATCTCTATTATGAGATAAAGAAATGGAAGTTACTCTCATAATCTCTATTATTTATTTAGTGCTTGCTAGTTCCAAGCTTGGCGTTAAGTATTTTCACATACTTGGTGTCATTAGAGCCTTACGACAACCCTATGCAGCAGATACTATTAACCTCATTTTGCAGAGGTTCAGAGAGTTTAAATAATTTGTTCAAGATCACAGAGCTGGCCGTGCTGAGATGGGGTCTTTTGTCCTCTGATTCTAAAGCTCACTCTCTTGTCACTACCCAAAGCTGTCTCTTTTCCAGCGTTTTCCAACTGCCAATCTTCATGAATGTCTTGGTTGCCTGAAGATGAATTTGTCCACCAAGAGTGAAGAGTTTAGTGATTTGAGAAGCTGTGGAAAGTAAATGAAATGAGATACAGGGCCCATTCTGCTGCTGGGCTTTTAAAGAGAGAGGTGAGCAAAGCAGGTCGGCTATTTTGGGCTTAGAGCCAAGCCTTCTGGGGCTGTCCCAGGGAAGAACATTGCTGAGTTGTGGGGTAGAGCTTAGTGATGGCATGGTGCAGAGACAGGGCCTAAGGGGAGCTGTCTCAAAACCACTTCCTCCTCCAGGGTTCCTTCTCTGTGGGAGCCATTCTACTTCCCCACCCATGGGGGAACCTCTCTCTGTATTTTTTCCCCCAACACTATTTCTAGGATCCAGACACTAGTAGGCGCTGGGCAGGGATAGATGTCATGCTGGCTGATACTGCTAACTGGATAAACTGTGTGGAGCCTCAGTTTCCCCCACTTCATGGTCAGCAGGCTTTTTAGAACAGAAAGAAATTTGACGGTCTCTCTAGGAACCATGGCCAGGTTCCCACTGTTAGACACACACATAAGGGTCTCAGATTCATCTCAGGCTTGGGCCTCCCATGTGGTAGCCGAGCCATCAGGCTGGCTGTGAAATGCCTTATTTTATTTTCTGCCTAACATCAGGTTGCAAATGAAAATACCTTTTCAACCCTAGTATTATTACCCCTATGGATGGCACGTTTAATGTGCGCTATTCATTGTTATAATGGCCGCACCTGTGTAGCACACGCACACTGGAACTGCAGCAGCTGTGGACTGTAATTGCAAAACATTATTTTCTGTTTCTCCCCGAAAGCTTTTGTGCATGTGCGCGTGTGTGTTATCTGTGTCCGTGTGTTTGTTTCATCTATAATGACTGTGGCCCAAAGATTCCCCATCCCTACCCCCCTTTTTAAACATAAAACTAAATGTAAATACACTTATTTCTAAATGCACATTTCAGTGAAAGTCAGATGCAACCCCCCATCCCTCCCCTACACATTCAGTAATGAGACTTCAGAGAGCTACTTCGGAGCGTGTGGTCTGTGGAAAGGTTCACGCAATCGCCGCTGCTGGGTGCAGTGGTCTTTATGCTCGTTGGCACACAGGCTCTCCCATGATTAATGCATTTGTTCCTTGATATTCAGCCCCTGCAGGACAGAGAATCAATTTAGCACTCACAGGCCCAGATTATCACCAGTACCAAAGACATTTCTGCACCAGGGGCTTCCCCATTCAAAACGAAAAGATATTTTTCTTTTCATTTTTTTCTTTTTTTAGAGACAGAGTCTTGCTCTGTCGCCCAGGCTGGAGTGCAGTGGTGCGATCTCGGCTCCCCGCAACCTCCGCCTCCCGGGTTCAAGCAATTCTCCTGCCTCAGCCTCCCGAGTAACTGGAATTACAGGCGCGCACCACCATGCCCGGCTAATTTTTGTACTTTTAGTAAAGACGGAGTTTCACCATGTTGGCCAAGCTGGTCCCAAACTCCTGACCTCAGGTGATCCACCTGCCTCGGCCTCCTAAAGTGCCAGCATTGCAGGCGCGAGACACTGCGCCCGGCCCAAACAAGATTTCTAAGAAGGATGTGTTTTTTTCCATTTGCCTCCATTGGTTCTCATGTCTGGTGGATGAGGAAAAGCACTGTCTGCGATTTGGTCAAAACAGTTGGCTTTTCTCCTTTCCGTGCACTTCTTTAATTTGCAGAGATGCCATGTAGCCCGCTGCTGCAATGACTGTGGGGGAAACCAAGGCAACGGTCTAGCACAGAATTGAGTTAACACCTTAGATCGTGCAGTAGGGCTCCTGGTCAGCCACCTGAAGGGCTGGAGAACAGAAGACAAGGCTATCAGCAGTGTTAGGGACATGCCGCAAGTTGGGGCTTCACCACCGAATTTCCCACCTGCGAAAACATGGATGAGGAAGACAGGGCTGTCAATTTCATCAGCCACATCCTCAGAAAAATGAATAGAGCTTCTCTGAGAAGTACTGCAGCTTTCCTCTAAGCCCTCGGCGAGATCCTGAATGAAGAGGGACATTGGGTTTATTGGACATTTAAACAGCGCTGAGAAGATCAAGTAATGCGGTCCTCATCCAGCAGAGCAATGAACTTCGTCGTCTTGCAGACTCCTCCACGTTGGAGACGCAAACCTCAGGCGTAAGCATGGGGAAGATGCTCAGTACTAAGTGGGCAGGCGCCTTCTTTGCACAATGCATAGCTCTTCACATAAAGCGTGTCCACCTTAACTGCCTTGCTTTATTGAAAACATTGGTAATGAGAATTGACTGATGGGAAGGGCCCACCCATTACGGTAAAGAAATGTGAGCATTTTACAAATTCTCAGGATATGAGCACAGATGTCTTTGTTTCTGAATGCTCAAAATATTACTGATGACCTTAAAATACATTGAAAAAAAATCAAATTCAAGACTATTTGGTTAGATGAATTTGAACCTATTATTAAAAGAGAGAAGTTGTAATTAAAAAAAAAACTGTAAAGAGAAAACCTGGTTGAGAGTCTACCCACCATTCTTCAAACCCTGTAAGAGTTAAGAAGTCCATGAATGAGATTTTTTAAAATCTGGTAAACTTTGTCAGTGTGATTATTTCTCTCTTGAAGAATCTGCTTAATTGGCAAAGTGGGCTTTCTGTTCTGTTAGGCATATGATTAGTGCTTTTATAGTGACTTGAGTTTTTGAGGCTATCAGTGCTGTGCAGGTAGAATAATAGAAAAGTCACAGCAAAATTATTTATTAACTCATGTAAACGAGTTTATAAATAAGCTGGAAAGCAGGGTTGTGGTGAATGCTTACTAAGCTTTTGTCCAGAAGGTGGCAACATTTCCTTAAGAATTTGGGAGAAAATGCTGGCTTCAGAAAATGACGATTTATCTTAGGACATTGTGTTCTGTTCTCTTTTCAAAGGTACAGCACAAAATGCACGTCCCCACACCCATGCTCCCTCTTTATTCTCAACAGATTCCAGGGAGAAATCTTGCCGTTTCTTCTCTTTATCTTTCTCTCTGGAGAGTAAATTTACATTGTTCAGATTTTCAAGCTGAGATGAGTTTATGCTGAAATGAATTTATGTAGCTGAAAATATTAGATTCTTAGTCTCCCCACTTCACTTCATCTCTCTGAAAGGTGGTGTTTTTGGAGAAAAGGGCCCATGTGAAGAGTCACTTACATTTCTAGCAGGTAAATCGGATGCCCACTCATAACCGTGAACGTGTCTTACTTTCTGAAAATCCCAACAAACCTCAAGATGACTATTTGCAGCGATAGCGCTTTGCTACACTGGATTGCTCTCTCGTTTCTTAATGTTTTGTTCATGCAAACATTAAGATCCAGAAGCAAGACAGAAGAGAGTGAGGACACTTGTTTGGGCTGAAGGAGTGAAAATAAAACAATGGATTAGGTTGTCCATATATGAACATTCCGAATCCTGCATGCAGCCCAGTGTCTTAATAGCAAGTTGGGGGAATCCTGTTCAGGAATTGGAAATGTTGGTTTGTTCATCTCTACTCCACCCCATCCCTATAGTCCCCCATTTCCCAGTATATTTTAATTTTGGGAAGCCATGGTGGTTGAAAACACACACATACATATACAAAAATGGGCCTGTTTTAAAGTAACTTTGAAAATTCATTACTTTACCCATGACTTTTGTTTCTGACTAGCATATCCATGTGTAACGTATTTCTTTCCTGGTTCAAAAAGAAAGTTGGAGTCAACTGTTAGAAAAGAAAATTTGAGTTAATTAAATATTATTTAGTTATCAAAATTGCTCCAAATTACAAAAAAGAATAAAATAACATTTTGTTTGTTTGTTTGTTTGTGTTTTTGAGACAGGGTCTTGCTCTGTCGCTTAGGCTGGAGTGCAGCGGTATGACCACAGCTCACGGCTGCTTTGACCTCCCTGGGCTCAAGTGATCCTTCCACCTCAGCCTTCTGAGTAGCTGGGACTACAGGTGAAATGTAATTGGGCTGCTGATTCTTTGTGTTTATGTATAATCTTAGGATCATGCCTTTCATGCTAGAAATGCATTCCTAGTAGATTTCTTACTAGCCAGTCTTGCTGTTCTTACTCGTGTTCTCTCTCTCTCTCTCTCTCTCTCTCACACACACACACACACACACACACACACACAGTTTCCAGTAGGACATGCACTTCACCTTCTTACCTCTGACTCAAGTATCCCCATTGCAATCCATAATCCATAATTCATAATCTCCCTTGTGCAGAGACTAGAAAGTGCCTTCTCCAAGGTTGGAGAAAGCACTCAGATGGCCCCATGTGCTCCACACGCCAGACATGAAAGCTTTCATTCCTTGTTTCTGTAGCCATCATGTGGCTGCTTCTCTCTCGGACCTCATGAGAAGACTTACTAGGAGTCTCTCTCCCTCCCCTCACCCTTGTACCCCTGAGTTTCTCCTCTCCCCGGCCCTACCTCACCACACAGCCAGTTGTTCCATTCCTGTCTCATTTCTGACAGAGCAGAAGAGCTCCCTGATCTGCCCAAGAGGTGGTGCATGTGTGGGATGACCCGGACCCGGGATGAAGGACGAGAAGACAAAATGTCCAGCTACCTAGGCACATCCACTTGAAGAATTTAAAAGCAAAAAATGTCTAAATAATGTATACACATGATGCATAATACATAATATAGTATAACATACGATACAAAATCACATGGTCAAAGGATTAAATTTTGTTTGGTTTTTTTGGAGATAGACTTTTGCTTTGTTGCCCAGGTTGGAGTGCACTGGTGCCATCATGGGTCACTGTAGCCTCGACTTCCTGGGCTCAAGAGAGCCTCCCACCTCAGCCTCCTGAGTAGCTGGGACTACAGGAATAGGCCACTGTGCCCAGCCAATTTTATTTTTTATTTCTAAAGAGATGGGGGGGTCTCCCTATTTTACCTAGGCTGGTCTCGAATTCTTGCCTCAAGTAATCCTCCTGCCTTGGCCTCCCAATGTGCTGGGATTACAGATATGAGCCGCTGCATCTAGCCAAAATTTTGTCTTTTTGAAGCCAGTAGCATCTTCTCCAAGGTTCAGAATATTTCGTCTATACATGTAGCTAATTGAGACTTCCTGAAGCTGCCGAACTCAAGTGGCAAATTTGCTCATGTTACACTTTTCTGCTCAAAGAAAACCAGGTCTCTTTATTGTTCTCATCTTGCACACAAGTCCCTGTCTGCTGGGTAGGTGCGAGGGGTTGGGGCAGTTAGGGCAGGGGACACCACCTAGTAAAATTCTAGAAACCTAGTCTGATGTGTAGTTGTGGCTCTGCCTCTTTGGATCTTTCAGATTTCCCACCCCTGGCTCTCACCACCCACCCCAGGTGGCACGCAATCTCTTAGCAGTGAGGCCATTTATGTCCTCACTGTCTTCTGAGACAGAGTGGTTGGCCTTTCCTGCTTCCTGGTCTGGTGATCATGGAGAAATGCTGGTTCCATCTGGCTTTGGACCATTTGTCCCTTTTCTTAAAGCCCCCACCTGAGAGCATCCTCATTCTAACCCAGCCTGTGTGGGTTCTTTATGCATCATCACAGTGAGGCATGTGGTTACCTGAGTCCCCATGCACGCTACTGGGACAGGAATGTCAGAAGACTCACCAGGTCACTCCTCTGATGAGGCTGTGCCTGTGTCCTGGGCCACGGGGAAGGCTTGCCACTACACCCTGCTATACCCCAGGAAGGTGCCACCAGCGGGTTCTCGTATACCTTGCTGGATTTTTTTTTTTTTTTTTTTTTTTTTAGGCAGAGTCTTGCTCTGTCACCCAGGCTGGGGTGCAGTGGCATGATCTTGGCTCATTGCAACCTCCGCCTCCTGGGTTCAAGCGATTCTTCTGCTTCAGCCTCCTGAGTAGCTGGGATTACAGGTGTGTGACACCACACTTGGCTAATTTTTGTATTTTTAGTAGAGAAGGGGTTTCACCATGGTTGCCAGGCTGGTCTCGAACTCCTGACCTCAGGTGATCTGCTCACCTCAGCCTCCGAAAGTGCTGGGATTACAGACATAAGTCACCACGCCCAGCCCTTACTGGATATTTTAAAAGCTGCTCCACCCCAGAGTGGACCGGGAGAACCTTGATATTGGACCTTGCTTTCTTGGCCTTTCTCATCTCCTCTTCCCACAATCTCCTTCTGGGGGCAGCCTCTAGACTTTTCTTAAAGGTTCAGAATTTTCTATCTGTACGTCTTCCTCTTTGGCATATCCTCTTTCCACTTTAGGGCAACAAGCATAATGGCCTGTCATAAGCAGAATGGGAATCTTATCTACATTATAGAAGAAAGTCTGAGACCTGAGCCCTCAGGCTTGTTTCCTGATACAGGAAAAGAATTTAGAAGATTTTCTTTCTCTCTCTCTCTCTCTCTCTCTCCATCTACAAAATCTATCAAACTATTGTCTTTCCCAGCTTTGAATGCTGACAGCTAAATTCAAACACACTATTTCTCTTTAAATTTGTCTTGATAATCCTAATGCCTTCTACAGTAGCCTGCCCTTCAATAGATGCTTCCAGATGAGAGGAGATAATGTACTATGTACAGGAATGCACAGTAAGATTTCTTGCCTCTTTCACATTAATTTCACTCATGCCTGTAAAAGAGGGTCCCTCCCAGCCCCCAAGCTCTGTGCAGAGGAAATGTTGCTTCCCTTTTCTGGTAGTCCTGTTGATGCCAACACCTCAGCTGATGGTTTGGAGTAAATGGTAGTAAAGGGTAACTTGTGGCAAAATGCGAGTTTGGATTTGGGTTTTAGTGAATATGTTTAAGTTACCGACTTACTCTAATTTACTTACAGACAGTATCTCATAATTTAAATTTCCATCTGGTAAATTATTAAGTAAAGTACGTGTGACATTTGTGGGTGTGGTGGGGTGTGTTGTGGCATGGATGTGTGGTGTGTGTGTGTGTGTGTGTTTGTGTATGGAGGTGTGTATTTTGGAGGGTTGGGATGGGCAGAGGGAGTGTCTAGGAAAGTCCAGTTTCTACTGCCATTCAATCTTTTTTTTTCCTGAGGCGGAGTTTTACTCTTGTTGCCCCGGCTGCAATGCAATGGCATGATCTTGGCTCACAGCAACCTCCGCCTCCCGGGTTCAAGCAATTCTCCTGCCTCAGCCTCCTGAGTAGCTGGGATTACAGGTGCCCACCACCATGCCTGGCTAACTTTTTTTTGGTATTTTTAGTAGAGACGGGGTTTCACCATATTGACCAGACTGGTCTTGAACTCCTGGCCTCAGGTGATCCACCCACCTCAGCCTCCCAAAGTGCTGGGATTACAGGCGTGAGCCACTGCACCCGGCCTGCCATTCAATCTTTAACTTACTGCTGATAATTTTTAAAAAAGTAGATTCTTGCCACTGGCACCAAACTCAGCACATTTATTCTTGCCGGTTTGGGCTGACATTTAGAAAATTAATTTTTTTTAGTCATTCTCAGGACAAGATGGCTTCCTAATGAAAAAGCACCACTCTTCTAGCAAAAGTGCACTGGGTCACATTGACAGTATCAGAGGCCCATTGAATCCAGAAGCTGTTGGTCCCCCAACCTCCTGGTGCTCTGTGGGGGCCTGAATCATAGAGAAGATCTTCACCATTAGAAATCCTAGAAGTCACTGAATGATGAAGAAATTTCAGAATTCTCATGAAGAATTTCTTTCTATCAGTTAAGCCCAGATGGTCTGCAAAATACAAAAAACGATTATAAGATATGTTGATTTAGGATCACGTGTGCACCTCCAACCATCAATGCCAGCAGGTTGTTTGTTGGATCTGAGGTCTCAGTTTAGTTCATTACTGTTGGTTAGCAGGAGATTATAAACTGGAATTTCAATGGCATGTGTGAAGCTCAGCCTTAGTCAATATTTACACACAATGATAGTTCTCATCAAGGCATAAGGACTTAGTTATGAAATGATTATACATCACAACCTATCTATAAACAAGATTTTAATTATCGTCATCAGCAGCAGCAACAACAAACATTTTTGGAGGAGCTACCCTGTGCCCTAATTGAATTAATGAATTTGTTAATCATTGTTTTCTGTCTCCGTAAACATTTGCTAAGTTCAATCTCAGTCAAATTACCTGGGGACCAGAACATGAGACCTCATTGCTTAAAAGGATGATCTTTTTTCTTATAATGTGAAGAGATTTTTGCTTGTGCTTGAAAGTGTAACTGAAGTTTTCTCAGCAATACCAGCCAGACAGGGCACAGTTGAAGTCCATGTCTAGAGGGGCCTTTTTCCAGAATTCCTAGCAGTGGGATCCCTGTATATGGAGGCCCCAGTTCCCTGGCAGAGTCTCCAAGCATTGGGCACATTTGCCTTGCCTGTCCTCTTGCTCTGGTGCCCTGTGATTCCCTTGCTGTTTGTCTGCTGTGTGTCCATTGCAAGGCTGTGTGTCCATGTCAAGGCTGTGTGTCCACGTCATGACTCTCAATAGCCCCTACCTAACCATGACCTCTCTTATCTGCTTGGTCCTCAGGGCCCTTTCAAACCAGCTGTAGGTGCTGATGCTGTCCTGCGGAGAAGCTTCTCTCTTCCTCTTCAGCACTCCCTGCTGGCGTGGATCTGGTCAGCCCTTTGGCCATGAATAAGGTGACCTCTCCACAAATATCCAGCTGGATTTTAGGCTCAAAGGTAGGCTGGTCTTGTGTTTGCAGATTCCTGCCATGCTTTTGGTCTTGTGATTCTTTCAGTTCATCTTCCCTATTTCATTTAACTTACTGCTACTCCAAGCCCATGGGAACCTCTGCCCAGAATCCCTTGAGGGATGGGTGGGAAGGCACATGGGGGTGCTGCCCTGAAACACCCATGATAATTTCTTGGTTCTCACACATAGCCAGTGTGCCTGGGGGTGGTGCATCCTGACTGTGGCTCCCAGAACTTCTCTGTCTGGGAGAGTTGGTCCTACCCAGTTCCCAGGCCAGGAACTCAAGGGCAACTCATCTGCTTTTTTTATGACACCAATGGGATGGGATAATTTCCTAAGATTTTGGTCTTGCTTCCTTCTTGGAGTCACTTCTATCCTTCCCATTTCTAACAGAAATCCAGGCTTTGCCTTCTCTTGCCTCAAAAGCAGAAGGTCTTCCTGATTTTTGAAAAAGCCTAAGCTCAGACTAGATTAGATTTCACCAGAGAAGGAGAAGAGAGCCCAGAATGCTTTTGAGAGCGTTGAGCAGGGAGGGGAGAGGTCATTCACCTGGACTGGGAGAAGGTTGGAGGTTGATGAATTTCATCAGTAGTGGGGGGCATGTCCCCTCTAGTGGCAGCCACCCAAGGGAGCAGCATGACTCAAATGGGACACCTGTTTGATGCACCTCAGAGGCAGGGCACTTCCAGTTTTGCTGAGGATTTTCTGAACCCCACAAATGGAACAGAAGCAGATGAGTTGCCCTATCCCAGATGGCCAGGACCATGGAGACCCTGGTGGTTTTCTGTATCTCCGGATGTCTCATAACCAGTGGGGCCTCCACAATGTCTCGTCCTGCTTCAGACCCAGGGACTTTTTATGTGACCTATGCTTGGAGAGCTCTAGTAATGACTGAGTTTGACTTTTCTACTTCTCAGGGGAGTGGGGCTTAGAATTGGACTTAAGTTGATTTAGAGAAAAATGAGGCTGGGTATGGTGGCTCACGCCTGTAATCTCAGCATTTTGGGGGGCCGAGGTGGGTGGATCACTTGAGGTCAGGAGTTCGAGACCAGCCTGGCCAATATGGCAAAACCCCGTCTCTACTAAAGATATAAAAATTAGCCAGGCATAGTACGCACCTGTGATCCCAGCTATTTGGGAGGCTGAGGCAGGAGAATCACTTGAACCCAGGAGACAGAGGTTGCAGTGAGCTGAGATCACGCCACTGCACTCCAGCCTGGGTGACAGAGTGAGACTTTGTCTCAGAAAAAAAAAAAAAAAAGAAAAAGAAAAAAAAAGAAAGCAAAAATAAGGAAATGTGGTATTTTTTGTACTCTCTGTGCTGGTGAATGGTCATTGATTGGCTACATTCTGTCTGGTCTTTGCACGTTTCAGGAGGTCCCATCACAAATGAAATCCATGCTGCTCCACTTTGACAGGTTTGATGTTGTGTCATGAGCATGCTCAGTGGACAACCTTGTGTGACCCTAAGGACCAAAGAATTACCTAACACTTATAATCCATATTCTACATTCTTAATACAGAAGGATTTCTTATTGCATTGCAAAGTCTAGGTCAGACGAAAGCAGCAGGTTGAACTTGTTCCAGGTAATAGGTTTCTTAGTGGCTGAGCAGCCTGCACACATGAAGGTAGGATATACAGAGAGCAAGAAGCAGAACAAGTGGGTGAACAATGGTTTGGATTGTGAAATTATGTTAAACTTTCCATTAGATCGCCTGGTTTGGGAGTGAGCCTTCATTCATTATTCATTAGTACCTACTGATTTTATACCGCATTCTAATGGTTGCCCATGTGGCCCTGAACTAGATAGAAATTGTGTATTTCAAAATAGCAATGAGTAAATTTCAAATATCGCACCAGAAAGAATAAGTGAAGCGATGGATGTGTTAATTCGCTTGATTTAATCTTTACACATTGTATACATATATCAAAATATCACACTGTACCTTACAAATGGATACAATTATGATTTGTCAATTAAAAATATGAATAAAAAAGAAATTGCTACAATGAGAACTATTGCTATTTATTACCTTAAAATGCCGAGTGTTGATCTTAGGAATTTAAACACAATGGCAGCAGCTCTCTCTCTCCTACCTGGAGGTTTTCTGTACACAGCAGATGATTGTCACTACATGTACAGAAGGTCTGAAGACTCTTCCTTTGGAAGACTTTAACATTGTAGGCATGAATGGGGAAATCGTAGGGGCACAGTGAGACCTTGTTAAGGAGGGGGCTTCCTGTTCACGTCTTTCTTTACTAAGAAAATTTAGGAGATACATGATGGAGAATAGTACACATGGTCTGTAGCACACACATTTAGGTCACATGCCTTCCTCTGCCTTATTTATCCATTCAGGAGGATATGCACTTGTCCTGACAACCCCCTCACTTCCACCCCAGTAATGGTAATAATCGAACTTATAATACATAACAAAATAAAAATAACTTACCAAAGCACTAAACAATCTTACTCCCTGGTCATTAGGTCACCAGCTAAACACACTTGCTTGGTTGGCTTTTTTTTTTGAAACAGGGTTTCATTCTGTTGCCCAGGCTGGAGTGCAGTGGCACAAACATGGCTCATCGCAGCCTCAGTCCCCTGAGCTCAGGTGATCCTCCCACCACAGCCTCCTGAATAGCTAGGATACAGGCAAATGCCACCATTGCTAATTAAAAAAAATTTGTAGTAACAGAGGTCTCTCTATGTTGCTCTGGCTCATACCAAACTCCCGGCCTCAAGCAATCCTCCTACTTCAGCCTCCCAAAGTTCTGGGATTACAACAAGCATGAGCCACCATGGCCAGCCTGGTTCACCATTTCAAAAAATTTTTACTAATTTGTCTTTTCTGAAATAGAAGATACAAATCTGCACCTTCTACACTATGCTTTGACTATGTGAATTAATAAGCCAGAGTCTAGGAAATGAAACAAACACCACCATTCACAAAACATGATTCTAAATGCAGAAAAAAACAAATGATCCCATTTGAGGGTGAGGAAAGGCTATGTGTATGAATTAAGTGACCTTTATGTACCAGGCACTTCATATATGTTATTTCATTTATGAGCCAGGCTCTAGTGTAACCATCTTACAGATACAGAAATGGAGTCTTAGAGAGGTTAACATATTGTTTAGGGTCTCGTATAGGCAGTTCCGTGGAACTGAAATTTTAAATGTGGTCTATTTGTAGCTAAATTCATACTCGTTGCATTCTACCACATTGCTTTCTAGACTTAGAAACTGAAACGGGGAGCAGAGTTGCTGCAGAAAGAAGGGGTTTGAGAAATCTGGGACCGTAGGATTTTATAGAACTGGTGAAGAAATGGAACCTACGAAGTAACTGGCCAATTACTTGATCATGTTGTGAGACAGAGATATGATAGCTTATCCTAAATCATGGTCTAAATTGTTGCGTTTAGATTAAAGCGTTTGAGAAATCCACAAAAGGGTTAAAGTGCAATCACTTTCTATTGCTTTATTTAAGTCATAGAAAAGATTAACATGTAGTAAGCTGAACTGAAATGACATGGGCAAAGCGAATAAGAAGTAATTTTGCATTTAACAGATTTCCTTCTTATTCCTTCACTCACTCCAGATGGAGGGTAATGTAAACTTCATATCATAGGAAGAAATGCCTATTGATCGATTAAACATCAATAATGGTGCTCTGTCTCCATCTGAGTATATGAAAGTGACTGTTTTCAAAATTAACCCCTTTCTGGGTCCTACACATGTTATCACGATGCATCCTGAATTTTGGAAGCCAGACTGCCCACAGCTGTGCAATTATGTAAAGTGGGCTATTTTCCAGCCATCATTTGCATGCAATGGTAAAAAGCTACTTTTATAGTTTAGTTTAGATACAACACACATTGGAATACTGTTATTGACTTCATTTCTTCGAGCACACATGATGCTTCCTAATTATTGGGGACTTTCCTTTTTACGGCACAATAAACAGATTTTCTCTGAGTGCAAGTTCACTATGCAAGGGTTGCCCACATAGTGGAAATAAAAATCTTTAACTTAAGATGTTTATTTCTTAGCTAGGCAGTCTTTCTGGCCTGATAAGAAATACCTGTATATCCTTCCCTGCAGTCAGAGTGAACACTAAAAGAGGGATTTGTATCTACTTTGTTTTATTTTTTTAAAATCTGAATAGCAGCCTTTCTAGAGTGTACAATCCTTCATTTAGTTTGTGAATTTAGAGCATGAGAATTGCTGTTGGTTTAGACCTGCAATTCATCTCACCCAGAGCTCTGTCCTTGACAGGGGTCCTAGGTACAGACCTAATGACTAGATCTGGTTGTCTTGGACATCAATCTGAAAAGCCTAGTGATATAATCCAATATATGCATTGTTTTCATTCAGCAACAACTTATTACTACCATGACTGAGGCATTGTTATCCACTGCAGAGGACACAGAAAATGTATGGGACCCAATCACCACCTTTAGAATTTAGTGGGGAAAGTAAAATCTGCATACATAGATCTAGGTACAAAGTAGACAATAATAATCGCTGAGAGAGAGGGCAGATTACTGCAGGAGGATTTAAACAACAGAGATAATTAATATTAGGGCATATATTAGGAGTGCATTGTGCATGAATTTATCTAAATACTTCGTGAACATTTTTCTTACCATTTCTAAACTAGAACTTTTTTTTTTATTGATACATGGTGCATGGGATGACATGTCATAAGTTAACCTATCTTCAAAGATTTAGGAATAGTTTTATTTCTTCGAAAAGTTTCCAGTTTCATCCCCCTTGTTCTTGTAATGACATTACTTAACAGAATCTAATATATAGTTAGGTGCTGACTAATTACAGATTTCTAATAGGTCAGCATTCAGGACTTCCATAGCTATGAATCAAAAGTAGATTAGTGTGAAAAGAGGCACCTCTAGGTTAGCAAGATATATGATTTAATAGGTAGGATAAAATATTGGGTGCTATTTCCAATTCTGCCACTTGTTCACTGGATAGTCACTTAACTGCTCTATATTTTAGTTTTCATAGCAATAAAATGCAGATAATAAGATTTCAGCACCATTATAGAAAATTAATGGTAGAAAAGGTCTTTAGAATCCTAATATTTTTTTAAAAAAACATCATTCCATCATTGTTCAGGTATAATACACAGGAAGAGAAGTTAAAGTACCCCTAAAGTAACATTATGAACATTTTACACATGCATAAAAATATTTTTTAAAATGTTATAACTTGTGTCTTGTCATTGCTCTGTTATTTAATTCATGTCATCCTTATCCTTTTTGAAATATTTCATTTCCTTGGAAAGAAAATTAATATTAAGATTTTAAAAAATGCCCTCTGGACATTCCTCTTTCTGTGGGCCCCGGTTTCTGTTGGCCAGTGATGCCATTTACACCTAGATTTACCTTTATGTCAGGGGAGAAGACCTGCTCTTCATGAAAGCTCTGCAGCCTTCATGGTGGACAGATCTCTTTCTGAAGGTGACCTGCTTTCAGCACTGCTGGGGACTCCTGAGATGAAATCAGTTTCAAGAGCTCTCTGGCTTTGAAGTGAGTTTTGTGGTGATGTCTTTTTTTTTGCCCTTCCAGTTCATGCTTGTGGCACAAAGCAAACTTTATGAGTCCACTCAAATTGGCAGTGAGTAGGAAAAAGAATCTACCAAGCAAATGCCTGTAAGCTGTAGTACCTCAGGGATTCTAATCCATGCTTGCTTGACTGGTGAGTGCTTCTACTTCAAGAGAAAAAACAAATTCTCCTGACAAACTACTTGGATACTGTTTCCCGGGAGTTAAAAGAACAAAACCTGAGAGGTAGCATTGGTTCCTCTGGATGGATCCCCAACCAACTTCAGTGTTGGCTAATAACTTTAGCTTTCTTTCTTTCTTTTTTTTTTGTTTTTTTGTTTTTGGGTTCCGTCAAGAACATAGAGGCTACTGGACTGTACCACCCCTAGGCCTGGGCAAGAGGAGCTTCTGCCCTGTGCCCTGATCTTCAGAGAGCATCATTCTGGCCTCATAGCTGAGCTCCTTCATACAGGGCAAGGGGTGTGTGAATCTAAGGGGGACATGTCCACCCAGAACCACATTTCCTTTTCTACATTATGCTATGAGTACCCAGAACCTCAGAATTCCTTGCACAGATTGCCATGAGCCTGTTTATAGGTCCTCCATGAACTTCTTCCAGAATCTTTTCCCCCAAGGATGGCTGAACCCACTGTGGATGCATCTCTAAGCTCAAGGGGTGGCCAAGGAGTGGCTATTTCCAGGGGGATGTGGCCTGAGTCTGGGCTTGCAGGCTTGGGTGTCTACATGTGTCCTTGTAGGTCTCTCGTGGTATATTGTGGGGCCAGAAGTAGGAAGACAAGAGAATTGGATCATGGGCTGGGGTGGCTCTCTTAGGTCTCTATATTCTAGCATAGAACTCCGAGGAGTCCAAAACTCGAAATAAAGTTGGCTTCCCAAATTTTAAAGAAGGTATATCTGTCAAGATAGGCATTTTCTATTGAACATACATATCTAACATATTTTAACTACTTTTTGCTTGACTGATAAATTTTAAATATTTGGATATAGACATGTGAGTATCTATTTATACTTTCACCCTGGGCTCAGAAAAAGGGAGGAATGGAATACTGCCAGATATGCACTTCCTTCCTGCTCCTCACATCCTATCATAGGGAGGTCTGAACTCTTCCTTCACCAGTCTCAGAGGATAAGGTTCCTCTTCCAAGTTTTAAAGACCACCCCTTGATTCCAACCCCTCATATCATTCTATATCTTGTGTCACAAATTGTTCCCTTTTTCTATTAGATTTCCTTATCTTATTAATAAGACAGGTCTCTCACACCAGTAAGAATGACTATTATTAAAAAGTCAAAAAATAACAGAGGCTGGCAAGGTTGCTGAGAAAAGTAGATGGTTATACACTGTTGATGGGAGTGCACATTAGTTCAACCATTGTGGAAATCAGTATGGTAATTTCTCAAAGAGCTAAAAACAGAACTACCAGTTGACCTAGCAATCCCATTACTGGGTATATACCCAAAGGAATGGAAATTATTCTATCATAAAGACACATGCACATGCGTGTTCATTGCAGCACTATTCACAACAGCAAAGACATGGAATCAACCTAAATGCCTATCAATGGTAGACTGGATAAAGAAAATGTGGTACATATACACCAAGAAATACTATGCAGCAATAGAAAAGAATGAGTCCATGTCCTTTGCAGGGACATGGTTGGAGCTGGAGGCCATTATCCTTAGCAAACTAATGCAGGAAGAGAAAACCAAATACTGCATGGTCTCACTTAAAAGTAGGAGCTAAATGAGGAGAACACATGGATACAAAAAGAGGAACAACAGACACGGGGGCTTACCTGAGGGTGGAGGGTGGGAGGAGGGAGAGGAGCAGAAAAGATAACTATTGGGCACTAAGCTTAGTACCTGGGTGATGAAATAATCTGTACAACAAATTCCCATGGCATGAGTTTACCTATATAACAAACCTGCACTATTGAGTCAGTACCTCCTACAGGTCTCTCTTCCTTTCAGTCTTGGCTCAATATTATCTGTCTTTATATTTCTACCAGAATAATTTATCTAAAACAAAAATCTGATCAAGTCATTCTCCTTTAAAATCATTGATAGTTACAGCATAAATACGAAGTTATTTAATATAGTATACACAGCCCTCTGTGATCTGCCCACTGTTTATCTTTTCCTTTCTGTCCCTTCTCACAACTTGTGTTAAAGTTATATTCAACTTCTGGTTCTAGGTGCTTCAGGAGCTGTGGCTTAAGGTGCAGACATGGCCAAGTCCAAGAACCACACCACACACAACCAGTCCCGAAAATGGCACAGAAATGTCATCAAGAAACCCCTATCACAAAGATACAAATCTCTTAAGGGGGTGGACCCCAAGTTCCTGGGGAACATGTGCTTTACCAAGAAGCACAAGAAGAAGGGCCTAAAGAAGATGCAGGCCGACAGTGCCAAGGCCGTGAGTACATGTGCCAAGGCTATCGAGGCCCTCGTAAAGCCCAAAGAGGTTAAGCCCAAGATCCCAAAGGGTGTCAGCTGTGAGCTCAATTGACTTGCCTACATTGCCTACCCCAAATTTTGGACGTGTGCTTGTGCCTGCATTGCCAAAGGGCTCAGGCTGTGCCAGCCAAAGGCCAAGGCCCAGGACCAAACCAAGGCCCAGGTCCAAATCAAGGCCCAGGCTGCAGCTCCAGCTTCAGTTCCAACTCAGGCTCCCAAAGGTGCCCAGGCCCCTACAAAGGCTTCAGGGTAGAGATCTCTGTCTGCCAATATGAGGACAGAAGGACTGGGGTGACCCCCTGGGCTGCCGTCTGCATGGGGCTGGTGTCCTCCTGTGCTATTTGTACAAATAAACCTGAGGCAGGATTCGTTTTAAAAAAAGTTATATTCCAATAATGTTGCCCTCTTATGCAACCCTCCTCCTCAAAACGGACACTTACCTAGCTGCCTCACATAAATGAGCCTTTTTTCTTCTTCTTCAATTTCTTGTCTGCCTGAAATACTTTTATTAACTGCCACTCCTCCTAAATTCTGGTCCCAAATTGCCTCCTTTATGAAACCTATCCTGCTTCACCACTCCCAAAAACTCAGCTAGAGCCCCCAATTCTGGGATCTCATTGTACCCTTTGAATGCCTGTATCACTATACTTACTACATTGTATTGAAAAAAACATATTTATGGATAATTCCTCTCTCTATTCTTAGCAACTCAAGAATTTGGAGTCTGTCCGATTTGTCTTGATACCTCAGCACAGAAGGTATTTAATATGTTGAGTAGCATCACCCCACTCTCCAGTGTATTATAACGTTTACATTCTTTGTTGTACAGAGAAGTTCTGGCTTTAGCAATAGAGGGAAGCTATTCCTCTTCACTTCTTCCTCACCGAATGACTCTAACTAGCACCAAGAAACCCAGTTCTCTAACCATGAAGATTGGACCCAGTGATTCAGTTGCACGGGCACAGCAAAATTCCCTGACCTCAAAGCAGTGTTTATATACAGACAGACTGGCTGATAATTAACAAACTGAAGGGCTGTGGGCTTTTTTGAGTTCAAGGGTATAAAGTATGTGAGGGTGATGGGTAGGCAAGAAACCAAGCAGCAGTCATTCTGCATATGAACATGGTGTGGCAGTACCTGGCACGACACCTGGGGAGGTATATTGGCATTGTTCCTGAAGCTTGGAAATCTGGTATGTTATGTGTGTCCCTCAGCAACAGATGGTATTTTGGGGGAGCTTATATTTGAAGATGATAGTTTACTAATACCTTACAATCATTAAATGCCTGAATTAGATGCATCTTATGTGCATGTAGATTTGCTCTGTGGACTTAAGATGAAATCCCTCCAGTCCTTAGTTGTATTAGTCTTCTACCACAGTTGAGATAAGAGCAAGGGTGGAAAAGGAGTAAAGGTTTCGTCTGCACTTAGCATGAAATCCAAAGTCCTTCACATGGCCAAGAAAGGCTTGCAAAATCTCTCTCCCATCACCTTGTTCCACAACCCTTCCATTTCTTGCTCCTTCATCCTTAGTCAACTGTGATTCCACCACAGTGGTTTTGTTTTGTTTTGTTTTGTTTTGTTTAACTCTTTGTCATTCCTCCCACTGAATTAGGGCAGGGCTTGTGACCGAGTCGACCAAAAGAATATGGTGGAGGTACCACTGTGCCAGTTCCGTGCTTTGCCATTAAAAAGACTAGTAGCTTCCATCACATCCCCATGGGAACACAGCCTCCATGCTGGAGGAAGCACAAGCAGCCATGTGGAGAGGCCACATGAAGGAGAATCAAGGCCCCTGATATCTTAAGTCACATCGTGGGGGCTGATAATTAGTCAGCAATAGACACTTAGAAGGTCCTCACACCTCCCAAGTTCTTTTCTGTCTCTGGGCCCTGGAACAGGTCCTTTCTCTTCATGAATAATTCTTCCTTTCGTGTTTGCTGTGACATGCCTGCTCATTTTCATTTTTGTCACCTCTCCACAACAGTTGATCCTAAAAACAACCTATCAAAGCTGGCTTTCTATTTTAATCTCTGACTTGTCACTTACTTTTTGACCTTGGGCAAGTTACCCAATCTCTCTGAACCTTAGTTATCCTTATCATTAAAATGGGAGTATTGATAATACCTACCTCCCAGGCCTGTGGATGGGATGAAATGAAATAATGCAAGCAAAGTACTTAGTGCAAGGCCTAGCATGTAGTAGGCACCTCATAATCATAAACAGTGTGGTTGATCTCAGCCTGAGAGAGAATCATATCTGGAATCTTCTTTATGCGTATTGCGGGGGAAGAGAAGTGGGTGGTTCTGAAAACATTTGTTATCCTCGGATGAGAACAGCTAAGCGCCATCTATATTGATGGTCTTCAGGCCCTCAAGTGGCTTTGAGACTGGAGATGAACATGGCTCTTCTTATTAAAAGACCCAGGTCTGGCGTGGGGTTATAATTTTACCATTATAGCCCTGGTCATCTCCTTCTATTTGCACGGTTCTTGTCCTACACTGAACAGGAGAGCCCAGGGAAGCTAATGATCCTCATTTGTATCAGTTAGGGTCTCAACCTGCTCTGAAATGATCTTCATTAGGCTTGTAAGCTGTATTTATTTTCATTACTCTTGTGCTTGCAGGACCGTTTGCTGCTGCCTTTTTCTGTACATTTCTCCCTGCAGAGCTCTTCCGCTGTGTGAGAAATGCATCTTATCTCTTCCTGTGCCTTTCATTCTGTTTTTTTTGTTTGTTTGTTTGTTTTTTGTTTTTTTGAGAGGTAGTCTCGCTCTGTCACCCAGGCTAGAGTGCAGTGGTGCGATCTTGGCTCACTGCAAGCTCCACCTCCTGGGTTCACACCATTCTCCTGCCTCAGCCTCCTGCGTAGCTGGAACTACAGGCGCCCACCACCACGCCCGGCTAATTTTTTGTATTTTTAGTAGAGATTGGGTTTCACAGTGTTAGCCAGGATGGTCTCGATCTCCTGACCTCATGATCCGCCCACCTCGGCCTCCCAAAGTGCTGGGATTACAGGCGTGAGCCACTGCTCCCGGCCTCATTCTGTTTTTATAGAACACATGGCTGTCCTTATCACTTACATACACGTACTCCCTAGAGCCACATCTGGCCTTAGGATGTTTGGGCCAGAACACCTGTGAGGTCCCTCTACCTCTGAGGGTGCCCTGCCCACTGTCTTCCACCCATTTTAGTGCATCATCGCAGCAGTCAGCTTCCCATAATTGTTGAAGATTTCAACCTTTAAGCAGCTCTGTTCTATGGGATGAACACCCAAGCCTACCACAGTCGAGGTAGAGAGAAAATATTTGATTGGAAAAAGGTAAGTTTCCCCTTTTTAGAGCCATCAGACAACTAATAAACAGTCATGAATGTCTTCTAATTTCTCCGTGTGTGTGCAGTCTTTGGCAAAAGAGACATCAACTCAATATGATTAAAAATTAAGGGCACAGTGGCCTTGGAGCTCTGGCTTCACCGGTAGAAAAGAAGAAGTTTGGGATCTAGATGGTGTGTGTTCAGGCTAGGAAAGTTGAGATTCTCCCAGAACCTGGTTAGGAGCACTTACATTAGCATTTCCCATCTCACAGGAAGGTCTCTGTGCTCCTGCTGATCACAAATGGCCCGCTGAGAGCAGCAGCATCACAGAGAACCGCTGAGCAGGAAACAGAACTCTCCTTCCAGGTGCCATTGTGAAATACCAAACACATTTGGTATTTACTACAGCCCTCGCTCCCACGTGGTCTTCTCACAGTAACAAGTGTAATTCTGCTAGTAACTGTTTTGGTAAATGAGTCATATTGTAGCAATCTTCATGAATCAAAGATAATTATATTTTTACTCAGCTAGCACTGGTTAAGAAAACTCTCTCATTCTTCAATTAGTTGTCTTTTCACTGTCGTATTTATCTAGAGGCCCTTCCACATAATTTCAACCTAGTTCCTTGCTCCCTTTTCCCTATCAGTTAATGCCTTTTTGATTTGCATGCCTCCCCACATTATTGTGTATGTTCTTTATCATTGTTCTTTTTATATATATATATACATTCGTAGGAAACCACTGTGGTGGATTAAACAAGGCTTGCCTGGAGGGGACAGAGATAACAGTATCCATAGCTGGGAGAGTTATTTATAAACCATGACATTAGGTTTTCATTCTACAAAGAGGTTATTGTTCACATCTCATCTGCCTTCTACTAACTTAAAATCTTACTCAGAATGACCATGGGGTTGAAATTGAATTGCCATTTATTACTGTTTTTGAGTGTAGGTACCAGAAATTTTGTCAAGAGCTTTAAACGTTTAGTTCCTGACAGGTCACAATGACTTCATAATTAGTGTTTATTTTCTTCATTTAACGGATGAGCAAAACTGAAGCTTAGAGGTTAAAGAATTTGCCCAAGGTCACACAGCTGTGACACAACTATTAGAACCTAGTTCTAATTCTAGCATCTCTTATGTACTGCCTACCTCATAATCTTCTTGTCTTAGTTCATTTGTGCTGCTGTAACAAAATATCTCAGACTGGGTAATTTATAATTGGTATGTTAATTTCTCACTGTTCTGGAGGCTGGGAAGTCCAAGATCACGACGCTGGTGGTCTCTGTGTCTGGTGAGGGTTGACTCTCTTCTAAGATAGTGTGTTTTTAACATCTTCACATGGCAGAAGGGCAAAAAGGGACCCATATAAAGCCTCTTTTATGAGAGCCTTAATTCCATTCATGAGTGAGGAGTCCTCATGACCTAGTTGCCTCCTAAAGGTCCCGCCTCTTAATACAACTGCAATGGGGATTACATTTCCACCTGTATTTTGGAGGGACACAAACATTCCAACGATAGCACTACTCCTACTTACCCAGCATAGTACACTGGGACTTGAAAGTCATTTTTCTGCTCTTGCCCTGTTTCAAGGTGGACACAGAATCATCAGACTTCAGATCTTCATCTCTGGAGTCAGCCGTGGTCTGTTCCAGGCCATATTGCTGGGGGACAGACAGAGGCAGAGGCAGGACCAGGCCTCCCCAGCCTCCATGTCTTCATCCACACTTCTTTTCCTGAATGTGCCTGGGGACTCTGCAAAATGTGATTTCAGGTCAATTTGTCTCTGAGGCCTTTAAACTCATATCTTGTGCCCTACTCTCTTCTCCATGGTCCTCGCCTTTCTAAAAGCCACCCATGGCAGGCCACACTGTCTGGAGATTCCAATGTGTTTGACCTGGGGTGGGACCCAGACATCAGGTGGTTCCATTGTTTAGCTCAAGCAGTGCTTCTCAAACTTCAGCGAGCACAGAAATCACCCGGGTTCTGATTCAGCAGGCCAGGTGGGGTCTGAGAGTTTGCATTTCTAACAAGCTCACAGGGGCTGTGAGGCCTGAGAGATTCAAACTCGGTTTTCTGCAGTGTGGCCCAGGCATCAGCATTTTTACTCCCCCTCACCACCCAATGATGTTAATAAGTGGCCCAAGTTGGGAACCCCTCTTGTGGACTCTCCACTTCTGTGTCTCTCCATCAGAAACTGTTGTCCGATGTGTTATATTTCCAGGGCAAAACATGAACCCCCAGAGTCAGGAGGATTTTTCTGGGTATCCATTCTCTTTAGATTCCTACACCCAACATTGATTCCTATCTAAGACTTGCCTTTTCACCAGACCTTGATCAATGCATGGCTCCAAAAGGCTCAACTGTTTACCTGCTAGGTGACCTTGGGCAAATCTGCCCACCATGCTGGACCTCAGTTTCCTCATTGTCAGTAAGACAGAGTTGAAACAAATGCTAATAATTTCTCTCAGGTACTCTGGGTTATACCAGAACAGGGCACCATCCTTCTCCCAGGGAAGATTCATGATTGTTGCCGCTTTGGGAAGGTGGGGGTGTGAGGCTGTTAGAGCTCATTGCGTGGATGGGAGGACAGGTTGGAGGAGGAGGTGGTGGCTGCCGGCTGGGCCTCCCTTCCAGCTGGGGATCCTTCACCCCGTCACACAGCCAGCTTGGAAATAGACCAAGGAAAGCCTCAAAGCCACTCCCAGGACAATCACTTGGACCTCAAGGAATATCTGCCATGGAATATTACAGCAGAAAAAGACCTGTCAGCTCCTCAGTCATTCTCCAAGGTGATATGAACATGAGGGCATCTGCAAAGAAGCCTCTTTACTCGCTTCTGCATCTGGGAGCCGCCCTGGCTGCATCAATTCCTCCCCTTGAAACCAGCAAGCCGGTGGATGGATGTGACTGCATGGCTTTCCAGGGAATTCGCTGAGTATCTTTCATGTCAGTGATATCTGTGAGAAACAGGAAACTGTTTTCCCATCTCATTCACATAATAGATAAGATGAGAAATTAGCTGCTGGATGAGCAACCTGGGGGCTGTTCATTTTGTCACAATAAATAAGGCTCTGCTCATGCTGGCGCTGCCTACTAGCACATTTCCTGGTGCACGTGTGCATGCGGCACTTTCTCATTTCAGAGCCTCCCAGCCTCATCCTCACTGATGGCTCCTGTTCTGTTTTTTTTCCCCTCTGACCCTGCTAAAGGTTTCCCCAACCCAGAGACCTCTGAATCTGTGGAGTTTTGTGGCCACTTAAAGCTTTGCCTCTGAGCAACCACAGGGACCCCCTTCCCCAAAACACCTTCCCCACACCTCTACCCTATGATGATCTGCAACCTTGCACCTTAGGTGCAGTTCAGGCACCAGCTCAGTGTCGGCATCACCAGGTGCCTGTTAGAAACACAGACCCTGCGGCCCTGGCTCAGACTTCCCGAATCAGAATCAACATTTTAACAAGGTTTCCAGGTTGATTCATTCCTGCACAATTAAAGTTTGAAGAGTGCAAAGCTCTGGTCTAAAAGAGCTAACATGGATTTTGTAATGCTCTGATGAGGCACTGGAGAGCGAGCATTTTGCCTGACATTTGGGACTTCTGGTGCCACCCCACCTCCAAGCCATTGTCTCAGTACACACTGTGATCAGCCAGGTGACTGCTCTGGGCTTCCAACACACCAGGAAAATGAAGGGGCAGTGACTGAGTCTGTGGATGTGGCAAGGGACGTTGTGACTAGTGTCCGTGTCCATAAATGCCCTGATGTTTTAGGAGGGAAGGCACTCCGATCTGTTCTCACAGAGGAGGAGGGGATAGGGATTTGCTTTAAGGTTCCACTTCCCCCTGACTTCTTTAATAATGTGCTTAATGCTGTAAGAAACTGACGGGGTCTAGGATGTGAAGAAAATGAGAACTTGGATTAACGTGATATTCAAGTTAAAGGTGAGGGTTTCTTGCTGCATGCAAATATTAAAGATAAATATTGTGTCAGTTTCTGAGGGCTACCACAACAAGGTGGCACCAACTGGCTGGTACTGTGTGGCTTAAATAACAGAAATGTATTGTTTTCTAGTTCTGCAGGCCAGAAGTCCAGGATCAAGGTGTCATCAGGGTTGGTTTTTCCTGGGGCCTCTCCACTTGGCTTTTAGATGCCATCTTCTCCCTGTGTCCTCGTATGGTCTTCTCTCTGTGTGTGTTTCTGTCCTCATCTCTTCTTCTTACAAGGACACCAGTCATACTGGATTAGGGCCCATTTTATTGACTTCATTTTAATTTATTTATTACCTCTTTAAAGAGAAGGGTTGGTTCCTGCTGAAGACTCGGAGAAAGAATCTGTTCCATGCCTCTCTCCTTGCTTCTGCAAAGACCCTATGTCCAAATAAGGTCACATTCTGAAGTATGAGGGGTCAGGACTCTAACAAATTTTTGCTGTGAGGGAGAGGGGCATAGTTTAGTCTGTAACAGACATGAATTTAAGGATTTCACGTGAACTGCACCTGATGTTGCTAAGAGAGGGAACTTTTCTTTCTCCTCCCTCCTTTTGGAAATTCTGGGATCAAGAAAGGGTAGGGGTGGGGGGTGGTCAAGAGCACAGCACACTGGCAACGCAGCTGGAAGAAAAAAGTGTAGCCAAGGCAGGGCTTTGTGGTGGTGGTGTTTAATGTTTAGAAAACTAAAAAAAGGGAAATCAATTATGGGGCCTACCTGAATTTTATTTCCTCACCAAAAACCAAATTACTCAGCAAACTTATCGCTTGCTATTGCAGGCTTTGGTATTAAAGAAAACAATCAGGCGGGCAGGATTAATCTCTGACGGCTGCCTTATCTTTAACTTGCACCTTTGTTGTTTTCTGATGAGCTTCTCCTTTTTTGCTGCCACGTTGTACCATACCTCACTGGTTCCTTTCATTTTATCATCAGGCAAGAGCGGAGGACCTTTCAGTTTATTAAAAAACCTTTATTTGTGAAGAACAAAGAGGGGGGAAAAAGGCAAACAATGAGGTCAGATAATCTCCTTCCTGCCAGGAGTCACTCACCTGTTATTTAGAGTATTATCAGTTAGGGGGAGAACTTGCATTCTGGAAAATGAGGCTCTGACAGGCTACTCGGTTACACACACACACACTCACACACACACCCCCCCCCCCCCGAGATCCTGAGATCTGACTGGCACACATCAACCTCCACGAAAGGTCCTTGACTAACAAAAGATGCAATATTTTATTTCTAAGCTTCCAAAAAAAAGGGCCTTACAAGCCTGCCCCTTTCTATCCCCCAGCCCTCCCCACTTTCTCCTTCAATGTAGCCCCGGCTTCCTGCAAAGAAGAAAGCCCGGGCCATGAGTGGCCACATAACTGTCTCCTATGAGCTGGGAATAACTTAGTTGTCTGTCAGGGGAGCTCTTGTATCTTGGATGCATCTTGCTGTTGAGTTTTGTTTTGGGGATCAGTGGGCAGGCAATGGTTTTTGGTGCATGCTGATTTGTTTAGTACGGCAAGGCATGCGCATGGTTATCTGTTGCAGGGCTGCACCTGCTGCTTTCACATGGCTCCTAGAATTGGAAAGAACACTGCAAACTCCCTAATCTTCCATGCCTCAGTTTCCTCTTGTCCCAGAGAGGCTTTCGCAAGATGGTGTTTTAAGATTGTTTTTGAGTGCTCTGGATTCTTAAACCATTGACTTTTCACTTTCAGATATAGTAATGATTAAGAATCACCACCATATTTGCAATTGGTAGCATTTCCCTGAGCAAGTCACTTAAACGTCTCTGAGGGTTGAGAAGACACACTAAGGCCTAGTGTGTATTTATGAATATATGATGTGTGTGCTGATCTATTGTACTGCATCACAGCACATCAAAGAAGCTCGAGGTTCAGGTTAAACTTACTGCTGCCAGCCAGCCACTGTGGTTCATGCCTGTAATCCCAGTGTATTCAGAATTGGGTTCTTGGTCTCACTCACTTCAAGAATGAAGCCACGGACCCTCGCGGTGTTACAGTTCTTAAACGCAGCATGTCCCGTTCGCAGTTTGTTTCTTCTGATGTTCAGATGTGTTCAGAGTTTCTTCCTTCTGGTGGGTTCGTGATCTACCCTGGCTTAGGAGTGAAGCTGCAAACCCTCATGTTGAATGTTGCACCTCAATATAAGCAGTGTACATCCAAAGAGTAAGGAGCATTTAACGCATTGCAAAGAGAAAGAAAACAATAACAACAAAAACAAAACAAAACAAAAAACTTCCACACTGTAAAATACAACCTGAACGTGTTGCCACTACTGGCTTGGGCAGCCTGCTTTTATTTTCTTATCTGGCCCCACCCACATCCTGCTGATTGGTCCATTTTACCGAGAGCCGATTGGTCTGTTTTACAGAGAGCTGATTGGTCCGTTTTGACAGGGTGCTGATTGGTGCGTTTAAAATCCCTGAGCTAGACACAAAAGTTCTCCATGTCCCCACTAGATTAGCTAGCTACAGAGTGTCCATTGGTGTATTTACAAACCCTGAGCTAGACACAGAGTGCTGATTGGTGCATTTACAAACCTTGAGCTAGATACAGAGTGCTGACTGGTGTATTTACAATCCCCTAGCTAGACATAAAGGTTCTCCAAGTCCCCACCAGACTCTGGAGCCCAGCTGGCTTCACTCTGTGGATCCCACACCGGGCCGCAGGTGGAGCTGCTTCCCAGTCCCGCGCGCGCGGTGCGGTGGATGGGACCCGGCGCTGTAAAGCAGGGGGCGGCGATTGCAGGGGAGGCTCGGGCCACACAGGAGCCCACGGCGGTGGAGCGGGGAGGTTCAGGCATGGCAGCCTGCAGGTCCGGAGCCCTGCCCGGCGGGGAGGCAGCTAAGGCCCGGCGAGAAATCGAGCGCAGCGCAGGCGGGCCATCACTGCTGATGGACCCGGCGCACCCTCCGCAGCTGCTGGCCCGGGTGCTAAGCCCCTTACTGCCCGAGCCGGCCGGCCGTTCCAAGTGTCGAGCCCACGCCCCTCCGGAAATCGCGCTGTCCCGCAAGCGCCGCGCGCAGCCCCAATTCCCGCCTGCGACTCTCCCTCCGCACCTCCCCGCAAACTGAGGGAGCCGGCTCAGGCCTCGGCCAGCCCAGAAAAGGGCTCCCACAGTGCAGCGGCGGGCTGAAGGGCTCCTCAAGCGCGGCCAGAGTGGGTGCCCAGGCTGAGGAGGTGCCAAGAGTGAGCGAGGGCTGCCAGCATGCTGTCACCTCTCAGCAGCACTTTGGGAGGCCGAGGTAGGTGGATCACCTGAGGTCAGGAGTTCGAGACCAGCCTAACATGGAGAAACCCCATCTCTACTAAAAATACAAAATTAGCTGGGCGTGGTGGCGCATACCTGTAATTCCAGCTACTTAGGAGGCTGAGGCAGGAGAATCACTTGAACCCGAGAGGCAGAGATTGAGGTGAGCTAATATCACGCCATTGCACTCCAGCCTGGGCAACAAGAGCAATACTCCGTCTCAAAAACAAACAAACAAAAAACAAAACAAACTATTGCTGCCTTCCATGAGGTAGGCGAGGTGGATTAGTTTTTACTGCTGTGTAGCAGGACTACACACTTAACCACGCTTTCTGAAGGTCAGAAGCCCAGGCTGGATCTTCTACTCATACTCTTACCAGGCTGATATCAAGGTGTCAGCTGAGGCTATGATCTCATCTGAAGCTTAGGGTCATCTTCCAAGCACATCCCAAGGCTGGGGAATGCTCTCAGCTGCCAGAAGCTGCGTGCAGTTCCTTGTCATGGGGTCTCTCTAGGAGGGTCACAACACAGCATGCATTTCCCTCCAGGCCAGTGGGGGAAGCTGTCTCTGATGCTTCACATTTTTAAAGGTTCGCCTGATTAAGCCAGGCCCACCCAGGAGAATCTCCCTTTTGCCTGGGGTGATATCACTCATATCCACAGGTTCCCCCATGCTCAAAGAGGAGGAAATGATACAGATGCAGGCATGGACATCAGGAGGTGGGGGTCTTGGGATTCATCTGAGAAGCCCACCTACCACACAAAGTTTCCAAATTCTCTATTAACGTACCTCTAGGGTCCACGACCCCACTCGACCAGTCTTAAAACTTTTCCCATATTAGTTCAGAGGTGGGGCAGATCCATCTGGGGTTGGAAGCTCTGACTTACCTGTTTGCTCTGATTTCTCTGCTTACCCCACTGAAAAACTGGAGAATCAATGGTATGGTTTGTCTAATGACTACTTGGAAAGACCTTGAGTGTGTTATAGTCCAATGGGGGACAGTGGCAAAGCCTTTGGGAAGGGCCATTGGTTGAGTGGAAGAAGATATACAACTGGATAGAGCCAGGGATGTTGGGGAAGCCAGTACGATGCTGCCAATCTGCTACTTTGCACTTAACTGGACTTAGTAACCGTGAACCCTACTGCCTCCTCAATTTTTTTTTGAATTTAATTTTTTGTGTAACCGATCCCAATTTAGAAGCCAAAATCAAGCCTTCCGGTTTTTGACCTTGTTTCCTGTTGTTTTGTCTCTATTTCACTCCAGATCCTAATCTTAGAGGCTCTGACCTCCCTGGTAACCTTACCCAGATTCTGAATTTCTCCCTTGTTAATATCTGATTCTATCTTTGTGTCTGGGCTGGGCCCTGGCTGTTGTACAGTTTGCTTTGGTAACTCAGGGAGAGAAGCCCAATCCCTTCCCTTAACAATGATACTTGGACACTTTCCCTCTCCTTGGCCATGCTGAGCTCTGATGTACACCCTACTTCTCCTGTCTCCTCTTCCCTGCTTCCCTCTCTCCTTTTCTTCATGACTCTGAAGAATCTTTAGGAAGTGAGTTTGAAAAAGCCTGGAAGGATGCTAGCTTCTCAGCTTAACATGCTTCTGTAAACTCTTGTGAACTTGCTCATAGCACGTGGGCTGAGATCAAGAGTTCTACCCTCTCTCTGGGGACTGAGGTCCTGGCCTTCTCAAGAGGATAGGGCTCAGGATGTAATGATAGAGTTCTTTTCCAGCCCCGAGAGAGTCGGCTCCTTTCTCCCTGTCACACACACGCGCGTGCATGTGTACACACACACACACAGGCAACACTTCACACCCATGATGATGATGATTATTAAAACAACAACTGTGGAAAATGAGCAGTGTTGGTGGGGATGTGGAGAAATTGGATCTCATGCATTGCTGGTAAGAAGGTAAAATGGTGCAGCCACTCTGGAAAGCAGTGTCACAGTACCTCAAAAAGCTAAATATAGAATTATCATATGATCCAGCAATTCCACTGCTAGGTATTTGCTAAAGGAATTGAAATCAGAGACACAGCAGATACTTGTACTCTAATGTTTATAGCAGCATTATTCACAAGAGCCAAAAGGTAGAACCAACTTAAATTCATCTATTGATAAAGATGAATAGATAAACAAAATGAGGTATATACACACAATGAAATAGTATTCAGCTTTAAAAAGAAAAGACATGCTTCAACATGGATGAAACTGGGAAACATTATGCTAAGTAAAATAAGCCAGACACAGAAGGACAAATGCGTATAATTCCGCTTATATGAGCTACCTAGAGTAGCCAAATCCACAGAAGCAGAAAATAGAATGATGATTTCCAGGACTGAAGGGAGGGAGAATAGGGAGTTATAATTAAAGGGGTTCAGAGTTTCTGTTGACGATGATTAAAAAGTTCTGGAGATGGACAGTACTGTTGGTTGTACAACATTGTCAGAGTATTTAATGCCAATGAATCATATGTCAAAATGGTTAAAATGGAAAATGTGTTACATATACTTTACTACAATAAAAATACACAAACATGTTTACGTGTGTGCTTTGAAAGCTCACAATAAATGGATTATATAGTATATTACAGAGATACAGACATCTTTTATGGAAAAATGCCATGTTTTAGTTCATGATAACCTGTCAAGATGAGAAAAGTTGACGGGAGAACATCAAAGTGTGTAAAGAATTCTTTCCAGCTAGATGGCACCATATGCGGTTATATCTATTGCATGTTTAGTAATTAAATACAAAAGCAGCATTCTAAATAAAAACATCATGCTCTGTATTTTTATAATCAACTTTTCGAAAGTGCTAATAGTTTCTTTTTCATGCTAAGAATTGCATATCCTGCTGTTTTATTATGGAATATGTTTAAAGGGATATAAAAGTGACATGGAAAGGGAAGATAAAATAAACTGGGGCCATTAGCTCGGAGAAGGAAAGGTTAAGGTCAGCCATTCAGTGTGGGTGAAAGGGCCCAGGGTTGGGAGGCAGATTTGGGCTTTGGTTGTGCACCAACCAGTTTTATGGTGTTTTAGCAAATCATTTAACTTTTGGGGGCCTCAGTTTTCTCTTATATGTCTGTTACACAAAATAAGAGGGGTTGTACTAGTGTCATTCATTCATTCCCTGTATATTCACTGAGCATCTGCTTTGAATGAGGGACTCTGCTAGGGCATCCGTGTCCACTGGAGAGGACAGGAGGACCTGGTCCTGGCCATGCTGAAGCTTACAGCGTGATATGTCATCCTGCTGTTCTCCAAGGTGCCTTGCTGGTCTCTGGTTTTCTCATCTGTTTTCATCTTGTGAGCACATAGGGCTTCCTTCCTTCCGTCTGGCACTGAATTGCACTTGCCAAATAGCCCCTGTGAGTGTGTCATCACCCTTGCCAAATAGCCCCTGTGAGTGTGTCATCACCCCACAGACTGTGAATCCCAGAGGGCTGGAGGCCATGTCTTGGACCATCTTCAGCTAACGGTATACATTACACAAAATATATGCTCACTAAATGTCTTCCTGGCTTATGTTTCTAATTGTGAAAGTAATACAGTGATCAATTGGAAAACAGTGGATAGCAGAAAAGCATCAGGCCTAGATGGAGGCTATTGCTGTAGTCCAGGAGAAATGATGGGGCCTGAACTAGGGCGGTGAGCGAGGAGAAGACGGAAGCTGGGGGGAATGATACTTGGCAGGTGGAATTGGCCAGACCTGGAACCTTAAGAGCTGCCGGATGGGGACTCAGCAGGCGAAGCTGCTGGCCACACCCACAGGGCTGGGGTGAGCGGAACATCTTGGCCAGTGGGTGGGGCCCACTGTGAGGGAGTAAGAGGCAGGTGGCAGGTGGAAGCACTGGCACCTGGTGGGCGTCAGGAGATGCAGGGCTGTGGAGGGCGGGGTGAAACACAGGAAGTGAGGGGACAGGCCATGTGTGTCACCCTGGGCCCGAGTTAGCTCCTGGAGGACTGGCAGCAGATGGGAGGGCTGCTAGGGTGGAGCAGGGTCAAATTCTCTCATGGGGCTGGCAGAGTGAGTCAAGGACCAGGCTCGGGAGAAAAGTGTAACAGGTAGATCGTTAAGGCAGGGATCCGGAAAGGACGCATCATATTAGACCTGGGTACAGGGTGGGGACTTGGTAAGAGAGAAAAAGTAGAGTCAAGAATAAAACAGGGTTTGATGTTTATTCAGTTCTTCCCCGAGTCAGTAACTATCAACCATGTACCTAGTATGTGCCACACATACTGCTGGACCAGAGGGAGGTGCGGAAGGGAAGAGGTGATAAGACAGGAAGATCCCTAGCTCTGTAGAGCCTGCATCCTAGCGAGAGGGACCAGGAGAGGGACCAGGTAGATGGAGTAAGAGAGAGAGAGAGAGAGAGAGAGAGAGTGTGTGTGTGTATGTGTATAGGAAGGGAATACTGAAGGTCTGAGATATGAAGTTATTAAAGATTTTACAACAAATTATTTTTACTAAGGACAGGAGAAACTTCCAGAGTCTGGGTTTTGACAAATTATAGAGTTGTGAACAAGTGGGGTTAGATGTGAGTACCAGAAGCTGGCAGGCCATCACAGTGAGTGACTGAAAGACAAGTGTGTGTGTGTTTGTGTGTATGTGTGTGCACATGTGCTCCTGCAGAGATTAGGATTGGAAAGAGAAGGGAAAGGCTGGATAGCGGGAGAGAGAAAGTCACCAGTACCCAGCTCAATAAACAGCACACCCCCAGCCCCTTCTTGCTCCCTCTGGCCACAGCCCCTCCTCCGAGTCACCACTGCCCTTGCTTTCGACAAGCCTGGGTTAGTTTGGCCTGTTTGCGGACTTAAAAATAAATGGAATCGCTGGATGCTATTTTAAAGTTGTTTCCAAAGCTATTTTGAAACTTTTTCCAAAATGACACATTAACTTAGAAAGACGGAAACAGAGATAAATGAAGACATGCTGTTGAAAGCCATGATGGTTCATCTATAAAAATGGCTGCTGATAATCAGTTGTTCCAAAGTGTCTTTAAATTAAGGGAGAAACCTATCATATGGCACCTAGCTCTGGAGGTACGTCTGTCTTTAGAAAGCTCATCCCGGGCTGGACACGGTGGCTCACTTCTGTAATCCCAACACTTTCGGAGGCCGAGGCGGGCAGATCATGAGGTCAGGAGTTCGAGACCAGCCTGACCAACATGGTGAAACCCCGTCTCTACTAAAAATACAAAAATTAGCTGGGCGTGGTGGCACACGCCTGTAATCCCAGCTACTTGGGAGGCTGAGGCAGGAGAATTGCTTGAACCTGGGAGGTGGAGGTTGCAGTGAGCTGAGATTGCGCCACTGCACTCCAGCCTGGGTGACAGAGCGAGACTCCATCTCAAAAAAAAAAAAAAAAAAAAAAAAAAAAAGCTTATCCAATATCCTGCTATTGAAAACCTGATCGTTCTGCTACCAGGAGAAGTAGAATGTGTTAGAAGGGGATCTCTGAACACTGGCTAGCTAGGCTGGTCCCCTTGGCTATTAATGTCCTACCAAATTTCACACTTTGTCTTTTGCAAAGCAAAATATAAGAACATAATCAATGGAAGGAAGCCAATCAATTTTTCTTTCTTCTGTATCTTATTTAATTTTCACAACAATATTTTGAGATAGACATTATTATTATAATTTACCAGATGGGAAACTGAGGCTCAGAGAGGTTAAATAATTGTCCCAATGTCATGTAGCTGAAAAACACTCATTATTAATTTTTCCTGCTCTAAAATCCAGTCTCTCCATCATGCCACCTTGCCTCTAGCTATACTAGGATATCTCAGTATTACTTTTTTCCTTTCGCTTTATCAATTATGATTATTAAAATATAAAAATAACAATATATATTTGATTTGTTCATTCAGCAAATGAATGAGGCACCTCATGTTATTGAGGCTGTCTTATACTCCCCAAGCAATGTCTCAGGAATTGGGGAAACAGTGGTAAACAAATATAGATACGGTTTCTGCTCTTGTGGAATTTGGAGTTCAGTGTGGGAGACATCCAAAAAACTGCACAAACAAATGTAAAGTAGAAACTATGAAAAGTGCAAAGAAGGCTAGAGATATAGGTGTTAGGAGAAGCTATACTGGAGAGGAAGGAGGGATTTGACCACACTAGGGATTTCAGAGAAAACTTCTTGAGAGACACATGCTCCTGAGTTGAGTTCTCAAGGATGAGGAGGAGATAAGAGGGTGAAATGGAAGAAGATATGCGAGGAGCATGTGCAAAGGCCCTGGGGTAGGAGGGACCATTGTGAGCATGAAGAAATGAAGGGGGAACAGTATGGCTAGAGTACACGCAGCAAGGCAGGACCTATTGGAAAATGCAGGAGAGATACCAACAGGGGCCAGACCAGGGCTTTGTGAGCCTGGAAAAGGGTTTGAAGCCACCTCACAATGAGTTTTTACTGAGTGGCAAGGAAAAAATAGACACAAATTTTCAGCTCCCTTTACTATCTCTTGTATTCTAGAGAATGCATTGCAGCTAAGTGTGAAGTCCCTTGGAATTAACATTATTTGTTTCCTTTTGGGAAATATGTTCATCCCACAGTGCTATCCAGAACCAAATTAAAAATAAACATCTAAACCAAATTAGGCTGCCTAGAAACACTGACAAATATGAGCCAAATTGAAACCAAGTTTAGATTCTGAGTTCAAGTCAGGTTAACATCACTGTGAGTCTACTGATAATTTACCGTATTTAATTTTTTAAAGCTTGCTGTGTCCATTAATTAAGAAGGCTTATGTTACTTGCATTGCACAGTGAGAAAGAGACAGTATTATCATCCCCAGTGGATCCAGAACAGTTAAGAGCTTGGCCTCTTGAACGTGGGCCACAATAATTCAGCCCACATCATTTCAGGCAGGTTCCTTTCTACTGATTTCACGCTGTATTTTTGTTTTAGATGCACGGAGCAAGCAGCAACCCCACAATTACATGCACGCTACATGAGCAGTTCTCAGCCGGTAGGTGGCAGATCCCTAGGAAGACTTAAAATTACTTCAAGGGAATCTAAGACCCCACAGGTATACCACGCATTGTGCATAGACTGAATACAAATAAGATCATCCCTTCTCCCAATTTATAAACTGTATATAGATGCTTTTGTGATTATGTAAATTTATATTTCTTTGTCATATTTAGGCTTAATCAGCAGAGATTAAATGTATAACTACTCTGTTGGAGGTGGATCTGGCCAGTTGACATTTAAGAAGGGAGCCTCATACTTAGAAAGCATGTGGAGCCTTTGCCTGATTAAGCAATCGGCATATTCAGATTTGACAAATATTTAGTGAGTGTGGGGGGTGACTTATCCTCACATGAATTCTAGGATGCTGGTGTGAAGGATCAGGAAACTGATTTTGGACAGAGCCATGATGCTGAGGGGTGGTAGATGCAAAAGAATCGTTTATAAACATCCGGTAAGGGAAATGCTTGTGCAACCCAGTCACTGCTGAGATACCTCTGGAAGAAGTGTCATGGAAGCACCCACATCTGTGATCAAAGGTGCCTGCCTCTGTGTATGAATGCATGTGCACGTGTAAGCAGGGCTGGCTGTGAGTGGAAGTGGGCCACCTCACAAGTGCACCTGGGATAAATCGAAATAAACTTCTGGACTCATTTTCTGCCAAACACCTCAGACATCCCAGTGCGGGCAGCTTAGTATCTATGTGAAGTCGTCTTCCTCCCGAGGAGGGGGGATGGGTAGTTTGTGGTGGTAGTCAGTCCTCCAGCTCAAACCTGAAAGGTATTTTTAATTACCAACCCTCAAGCCAGGTGTGGTGGTGTGTCCGGAATTGGTGGATTCTTGGTCTCGCTGACTTGAAGAATGAAGCCGCGGACCTTCGCGGTGAGTGTTACGGTTATTAAAGATGGTGTGTCTGGAGATAATCCTTCAGCTGTTCACATGTGCCCGGAGTTTCCTCCTTCTGGTGGGTTCGTGGTCTCGCTGACTTCAGGAGTGAAGCTGCAGACCTTCACGGTGAGTGTTACAGCTCTTAAAGCCGGCGCATGTGGAGTTGTTAGTTCCTTCTGGTGGGTTCGTGGTCTCGCTGACTTCAGGAGTGAAGCTGCAGACCTTCACAGTGAGTGTTACAGCTCTTAAAGCCGGCGCATGTGGAGTTGTTAGTTCCTTCCGGTGGGTTCGTGGTCTTGCTGGCCTCAGGAGTAAAGCTGCAGACCTTCGCAGTCAGTGTTACAGTTCATAAACGTGGCGTGTCCGGAGTTGTTCATCCCTCCCTGTGGGTTTGTGGTCTCGCTGGTTTCAGGAGTGAAGATGCAGACCTTCGCGGTGAGTGTTACAGCTCATAAAGGTAGCATGGACCCAAATAGTTAGCGGCAATAAGATTTACTTCGCAGACCAAAAGAACAACCCTTCCACAGTGTGGAAGGGGAACTTAGCACGTGGCCACAGCTAGCTCAGGCAGCCTGTTTTTACTCCCTTATCTGGACCCACCCACATCCTGCTGATTGGTCCATTTTACAGAGAGCTGATTGGTCTGTTTTGACAGAGTGAAGATTGGTGAGTTTACAAAGCCTTGGCTAGACACAAAAGTTCTCCAAGTCCCCCCCCAACCCCCCGCTGATTAGCTAGACACAGAGTGCTGATTGGTGCGTTTACAATCCTTTAGCCAGACAGAAAAGTTCTCCAAGTTCCCACCCGTCCCAGAAGCCCAGCTGGCTTCACCTCTCAGTGGCTTATGCCTGTAATCTCAGCACTTTGGGAGGCTGAAGTCGGAGGATCGCTTGAGGCCAGGAGTTTGAGATAAGCCTGGGCAACATAGTGAGACCCTGTCTCAACTAAAACTTTTTTTTTAAATAGCCAATGTGGTCATGCACACCCGTAGGCCCAGCTCTTCAGGAGGCTGAGATGGGAGGATCACATGAGCCCAGGAATTTGAGGCTGCAGTGAGCTGTGATCATTCCACTGCATTCCAGTCTGGGTGACAGAGCCAAACCCTGTCTCTAAGAGAAAAAAAAAAATCATCTTGTATTATGCTGTTCTTGCTTTGCAATAAAGAAATACCTGAGACTGGATAATTTATAAAGAAAAGAGGTTGAATTGGCTCACAGTTCTGCAGGCTGTACAAGCATGGTACTGGCATCTGCATGGCTTCTGGGAAGGCCTCAGAGAGCTTTTACCCATGGCAGAAGGCAAAGCGGGTACAGGTGTCTTACATGGTGGGAGCAGCTGCCAGAGAGAGCATGGTGGGGGAGGTGTCATGCCCTTCTAAACAACCAGACTCTAAAGAACTTACCGTCACAAGGACAGAACCAAACCATGAGGGATTTGCTCCAATGACCCAAACACCTCCCACCAGGCTCAACCTCCAATGCTGGGGATTACAATTCAACATGAGATTTGGTGGGGACATATATGCACACTATTTTACCTCTGATCAGGTATACTTTGTATAAACCATTGCACTTTTTAAGAAGACTGATTTTTTTTCACCTTCCTTTCTTGGCAAAGTAGGACCCAGGTATTTTATTTTCATTTTAAAAGGGCAAATGAAGATCTCAGAGCCCTGAGGACACTGCCATCTGCTAGTGGTCATCCTTATACTACGGTGACCCCATGGGTAACTTAATAGGAGCGGGGGAGGATGAGGGAAGGTAGCTAACATCTAAGTGTTCTCCACACTCCTGCCTTTTTCTGTGCTTGTTCTCCTGCAATTCTCACATCACAATAAAGGTGGTATTATTTTCCTATTATACAGTTGAGGAGACTGAGGCTCAGAGAAGCTACATAGCTTGCTCGAGGTCATACAGCCAAGAGAAGAGCAGAGATTCTGAACACACGTTCTCCTGATTCTGGTCTGGGCTGTTTCCTGAAAACCTTGCTCCCTCCTGGCACATTCAAGCAGTGGGAAATTGACTTCCACAGGAAACCCACAGCACATGGAGGCTTTGCTTTGCCAGAAGGGCAGGTGCTAGGTCCTGGAGTGAGTGGAAGCTAGACAACAATTACTGTTGGGGTGAGCTGGAATTGTCTACAAAGCCCCACTATAAATGTGATAGCTCAGGCACAAAAACACATTGGACATCCTTATCTCAAATGTCCCTCCCCATAAAGCCCTCCTGCCCCACCAACCAGAGTCTGGCATTAAAACTCTGGCTGGGACACTATCAACAAAATTAATTCCAATTCACATTAATTTTAATGTGTGTGTACACATGTCACCCAGTCTTTTTTCCTCTTGGGTGATTTTCAAAACTCTGCCATAAAAACAAACAAAAACAAGGACAAGCCCAAGCAGGTTGAGAATCACCAGGGTACTGATGAAATTAGGTTTTCTTATTGGCAATCTTAATGCCTCCTGCCTCAGGATAGATTTATTTCCCCTTCGCCTTTTTCAATTTTTGCTGTCCGTGGGAATGATGAATATGTTATCTTCTTGGGTACCTGAAGACTATTATGCCACTTCTCCCACCTTTTCTTCCCTAAATAGAATCATCTACTTAATTTTTCCTCCACAGTCATTTTCACCACCCTAATCAATGTCAAGAAAGCTCTGTTAATTCAGGTAAATCTTTTATCAAATGATAGTCTTTGGATGTTTGGCTGCCATGCTTGAACTGGTACTTTTCCATTTTTACTTCTCATTGCCTTTTTTCATTCCTTTTATTTATTTATTTATTTTTGAGACAGAGTCTTGCTCTGTCACCCAAGTTGGAGTGCAGTGGCACAATCTTGGGCCACTGCAACCTCCGCCTCCCAGGTTCAATCAATTCTCCTGCCTCAGCCTCCCCAGTAGCTGAGACTACAGGTGCACACCACTAAGCCCGGCTAATTTTTGTATTTTTAGTAGAGACAGGGTTTCATCATGTTGGCCAGGCTGGTCTCAAAGTCGTGAACTCAGGTGATCCACCCACCTTGGCCTCCCAAAGTGCTGGGATTACAGGCGTTAGCCACCATACCCAGCCCCAAAAACCTATTTTTAAATGGACATATGAAAATTGTATATATTTACCGCATACAACATGTTATTTTGAAATATGCATACATTGTGGAATGGCTATATTGAGCTAATTACCATATACATTACCTCACATACTTTTTTTGTGTGTTGAGAATGTTTAAAATCTATACTTTTAAGAAAGACTGCATTTTAAATAAGAGTCCTGAGAATTTATACAGTAAGTGGTCATTGGACCACACCTTTAAATTAATATGTTTGTTTCCTACTTCTTAGCGCTAAGTATTTTATAATTTCAAAAGCAGAATAAATAATACTGATAATTTAAAAAGTCTACTCTTTCAGCAATTTTCAAGAATACAATACATTGTTGTTAACTATAGTCACCATGTTGTACAATAGATCTCTTGAACTTATTCCTCCTGTATAATTGAAACTTTGTACTCTGACCATCATCTCTCCCTCCCACTTCCCTCCAGCTCCTGGCAACCACCATTCTCATTTCCACTTCTATGAGTTCAACTCTTTTAGATTCTACACATAAGTCAGATCATGCGGTATTTGTCTATCTGTGCTTGGCTTATTTTACTTAATATAATGCCCTCCAGGTTCATTGTCACAAATGACATAATTTCCCTTTTCATTTTGTTTTACTTTTAATTTAATTTTATTTTTTGAGATGGAGTCTTGCTCTGTCACCCAGGCTGGAGTGCAGTGGCACAATCTCAGCTCACTGCAATCTCCACCTCCTGGGTTCAAGCTATTCTCCTCCCTCAGCCTCCCCTGTAGCTGGGATTACAGGCACCCGCCACCATGCCCGGCTAAATTTTTTTTTTTTTTTGAGACAAGTCTGACTCTGTCGTCCAGGCTGGAGTTCAGTGGTGTAATCTTGGCCCACTGTAACCTCCGCCTCCCAGGTTCAAGCAATTCTCCTGCCTCAGCCTCCCGAGTAGGTGGGACTACAGGCGCCTGCCACGACACCCGTCTAATTTTTTGTATTTTTAGTAGAGATGGGGTTTCACTGTGTTAGCCAGAATGGTCTTGATCTCCTGACCTCATGATCCACCCGCCTCGGCCTCCCAAAGTGCTGGGATTACAGGCATGAGCCACCGCGCCTGGCCCTATTTTTTGTATTTTTAGTAGAGATGGGGTTTTTCCATGTTGGCCAGGCTGGTCTCGAACTCCTGACCTCAGGTGATCTGCTCCCTTCGGCCTCCCAAAGTGCTGGGATTACAGGCGTGAGCCATCACACCTGGCCTAATTTCCCTTCGTAAATCCTGAATGGTATTCCATTGTGTCTGTATTACATGTTTTCTTTATGCATTCATCTGTTGATGGGCACTTAGGTTGTTTCCATATCTTGGTTATTGTGACTAGTGGGCCAATAAACATGGGAGTACAGATATCTCTTTGACATGCTGATTTTATTTCCTTTGGATATATACCCAGAAGTGGGATTGCTGGATCATAAAATCATTCTATTTTTCATTTTTTGAGGAACCTCCATACTGTTCTCCAAGATGGCTGTAGTAATTTACAGTCCCACCAACAGTGTGCAAGAGTGCCCTTTTCTCCACAACCTCTCCAATACTTGTTATCTTTTGTCTTATTGATAATAGCCATTCTAATGGGTGTAAAGTAATATTGCATTGTGGTTTGAATTTGCACTTCCCTAATGATTAGTGATGTTGAGCATGTTTTCATGTATCTGAAGACCATTTATATATCTTTTTCTGAGAAAGATCTGTTCACGTCCTTTGCTTATTTTTTCAGTTGGGTTGTTTTCTTGCTATTGAGTTGTTTGAGATCCTTATACATTTTGGATATTAACCTCTTATCAGATGGGTACTTTGCAAATATTTTCTCCATTCCATAGATTGTCTCATCACTCTGTTGATTGTTTCCTTTGCTGTGCAGAAGCTTGGTAGTTATTGCCTGTGCTTCTGGGATCATATGCACAAAAATCATTGCCAGACTAATGTCATGCACTTTTTCCCTTGTGTTTTTTTTCTAGTCGTTTTACAGTTTTAGGTCTGTGTTTAAGTCTCTAATTCATCTTGAATTGATTTTGTGTATGGTGTGAGATAAGGGTCTAATTTCATTCTTCTGCATGTGGATACCCAGTTCTCCCAACACTGTTGATATAGTTTAGATATTTGTACCCTCTAAATCTCATGTTGAAATGTGACCCCCAGTGTTGGAGGTGGGGCCTAGTAGAAGGTGTTTGAGTCATGCCTCATGATGGCTTAGTATCCTTCCCATAGTAACGAATGTATTCTTGCTCTGTTAGTTACAGTGAGATCTGATTGTTCAAAAGAGCCTGGCATCTCTTCCTTTTTCTCTTGCTGCCTCGCTTGCCATGTGAAATGCCTACTCCCCCTTTGCATTCCACTGTAAATAAAAGCTTCTTGAGGTCTCACCAAAAGCAGATGCTGGCTCCATGCTTCTTGTACAGCCTGCAAAACTGTGAGCCAAATAAACCCCTTTTCTTTATAAATTGCCCACCCTCAAGTGTTCCTTTATAGCAATGCAAAAGTGACTAACACAACTGTTTATTGAAGACTGTCCTTTCCCCATTGTGTATTCATGGTACCTTTGGGAAAATCAATGGACTGTAAATGTGTGGATTTATTTCTTGGCTTTGTATTCTGTTCCATTGGTCTCTGTCTGTTTTTATCCAATACTATGTTGTTTTGGTTACTATAGCTTTGTAATACATTTTGAAGTCAGGTAGTGTGATGCTTCTCGTTTTGTTCTTTTTGCTCAAGATTTGCTTTGTTCACTGCCTTTTTCTAAGGTGCTTTCCTTACTGCCTTCTTAATTTCCTCCCAAATGGTCTTAGATGTTTGAAAGAGATCAGAAAAATTCCCAGCAAGGATCTTGCTTATTTCTGGACTTGAACTTGATGCTAGCAAAGCCTCAGAGGGCAATTATGGTAAGTACCCTAAAACCATCTTGTTTTGGGGGACAGCAAGGACAATGATAAGGAACATCAGCTTCTCTCTTGCAGATATTCATACCATGCAATGGCACCCTGTAATAGTGACCATTACCATCTGCCATTGATACTAAATTCTGTCAAGGCATGTACTGTGTTATTGAGGACTAGTAACGTGAGGATTCTGATCTCACTTGGGGTTTGGCATCTTGAGTAAAGATGGTCAAATGTTACGTGTCTCACTGATTAGCTGTGTGCCCTTGAATAGGGCATTAAACTACTGCTTGAAACTTGTTTCAACATCTATAAAATAAAGGTAAAAATACCTACATTAAGGGTTTCTGAATATGAAATCAGTTAACACAGTTATTGACCTAATATTGGAGTGAATATGTTCTCTGAACACTGCGCTCAGGGTTGGATTTGCAGATTCAGCTTAGTCCCTGCCTTTATGGAGTGTTCAGTCCAAAGAGGTAATATCTAGCAAATACCTGGTCTACGGTAAATATTTCTCATGTAGATATCACTGTCTTAAAGTTTAAACATAATGAATTCTGTAAAATGAAATGAATGAAGATTCCCAAAATATCTGCTTTGTTAAGAAGTTGTAAATGTGAATATAGCATTCACATTCTTTGTTATTATCCTTTTGCGCTGATTGAAAGGCTATAAAATGTTTTTATCTCTTGGTTTTAGTATTGTAAGCGAGTATGATTCCATTCTGGAGATTTGTGAAAAATATCTTGTCTTGAGTAAAATGAAACCATTAAACACACACACGCCCCTATGCTTATTAGTAACAGGTTAAAAAAAAGTCACTCTGATAATGACAGCATGTGCTCACCTGCAACGCAACTTCTCCCGTGACTGCCTGGTTCTACATCAGAGTCTGAATTCTTTTACCAAATTATGTCTATCATCAAAACAAATGTCTGGTGCATTTTGTGCTCTAACAGGGCTGAGAGGGCCAGATCTAAGGAAGGATGTCCTGGGCCTGAAGGAGCCTGGGCCTTGCCTGCCCTGCTGCTGGCTGGGCCTTTTGGGGTATACAGAGTTGTCTCTCTTGTTGGAGCCACGAATGAGACAGCTGGAAAACACACATTTTATTTCATCTGTGATGTCAGGGCTGCTGTGCTTTCTCCCAGTCCTGTTTCACGTATGACCCTCAGAGGGCTGCTTAGAGAATAGTTTATTCTCACTTATTTTATGTGCTGGGCAGAATTTACATCTTGTAAAATCAGCATCAAAGCCTGCTGTCAAACAGCTTATGTTTTCTCTTTTCCAAGTCTTGTTTGTGTGTGTTGTTGTTGTTGTTTGAAAAACCCAAGTTTTAATGGTATTAACCTCACTTTACTTTAGATGTCTCTGTCTCTGTTTTTTTTTTTAAACTCTGCTTCAAATCCCAGTTCTGCCTCAATGAATCTGATCTTGATTTGGGGAAATCTTTTAATCTTGGGTACTGAAGTTCAAGAATGAAGGGAGCAAGAAAGAGGAGGAAAATACAGTGAAAAAAGAGAAAGGCTCAGGAAAAATAAAGACAGACACAGTAAGAGAAAGCCAGAGACACTGAGATGTTAGAGGCTACATCCGTGTCCATCACAGAGCAACACAAAGCAGAGAAGCCACATTCTGAGACAAAGTCTTTGTGAAACTTTGTGGACTTAGTGTATCTTTGTGGCCTAGTGGCCTCATATTCTGAAGTTCTAAGATATTACCACAAAATAACCTTACACAGGTCCACTGAAGTTTTCTTAATAATATGCATAAGTGTTGCCTCTTGATGTCACTCATGCAGGCTCTTACGTGGAAAGAAGATTATGCATAAGTTTTAGCCCTCAATGGGGATACAAGACAGTAAATACTAGCTCATTAAAACTATGGCAAATAATGAGGTAGCAAATTCTCTGTCATTAGGCCGGGGGCGGTGGCTCATGCCTGTAATCCCAGCACTTTGGGAGGCTGAGGCGGGTGGATCACCTGAGGTCAGGAGTTCAAGACCAGCCTGGCCAACGTGGTGAAACCCCGTCTCTACTAAAAATATAATAGCTGGGTGTGGTGGTGCACACCTGTAGTCCCAGCTATTCGAGAGACTGAGGCATGAGACTCTCTTGAACCCCGGAGGTGGAGGTTGCAGTGAGCTGAAATCATGCCACTGAAACTCAAGCCTGGGCAACAGAGCAAGACTCTGTCTCAAGAAAAGAAAAAAAGAATTCAAGCCCTAGCTGGAGACCACCTCGTGGAAGTACCATAGAGGGGATTTCAGGATTAGAAAGGGAAACGCAGTCTAAATTCCATCAAGAAAGTATCTATTCCTCATGGTTCCTGGTATGAAATATAACAATTAAAATGCAAACATGAAATGCAAACAAATGTCATTTCCAAATTAGACTTGTAATTAGAAATAAATGAATAAGTTTGTTGGTTTGGTTATTATGACCATATAACTAATTACTTTGTTAATTATAAGATTTGCCAGGATGTGTCTTTAGCCTTAATATATGTTAAAAAATAATAGACTTAGAAAATAAATAGGAATGTTGGTACCAGCTGCATGGAGAAGCCCTGGACAAGTTGGGCCTGTCCCTGAGGTGTAATGGTCAGGCCCACAGACAAACCATCCCATCTCCTCTGACCAGCACCAGATGTAAATTATGGGGCCACCATTCAGTGGAGTAGAAATTTTTGCTTGAAAGTCTAAGGGAGCCCACATTGAATATAGATAACATAAAGTCAAGGTTTCTGTTTTGATTAAGATTATTCTCAAAGCTCAGAATTACTGGAATTTGTTGGAGTAGTTGAACTTTTTGACATGAAAAGATGGATTTTCCTGTGTGTAAACTCTATTGTGTTACAGTTGTTGGTGCAAAACCACTTAATGCATTTTCTTTAGGAACTCTCAAATACCTGTTTATGCATTTTTGTTTAAGACTATATAAGCAGAAATAAAAAGGACATTTCATAATAATAAGGTGTAAAAGCTGTTCCAGTTTAATTTATGCTATGAGTTTTTTAAAGAAATGAGTGCATCATCCTTGAACACATCTGTAAAATTCACTCATCAATACTTATTTGAGAAGAACAACATTCTTGAATGACTCACTAGGATAATTTTTACAAAAAAAAAATTGTCTTAACTAGGTAGAATTAAGTAAGTCCAAAATTTTGGATTAATGGTTTGCTCAACATGTCTCATCCAGGTAAAAATTTATTCCCCAGATTTGCTACTTGAGGCATAAAAGTTTTCTGGAAATCAGGCATGTGAAAAGAGAGTCAAGTACATTTGCCTAAGCAGCCACCAGAGAAATAAGTAAATATTACTTAGTCGTACAGCACAATCATTATCGAAATACATTTCTCAGGTGACTGCATGGATGTAGCTTTTGACTGCACAACATGCATGTTTCCAGCTTAGGGACCACAGCTTTAGGTTTGTGGGGGGACAGGGAGGAAAGGGGATGAAATAACACTAAAACCTCTGTGGGCTAGGAGGTCCAAAAAGGGCATTCTCTTTTCTTGCTGGTGGGAATGAGAAACACTGCCTGTCTTTTGGAAAACAAGCTTGCAGTGTCTATTTCAATGCAAATATGTGTAATTGACCTAGGAATGCTCCTGGTAGGAAGTTATCCTGTAGAAACACAAACTCAAGATTTAAGTATATATGAACAAGGACTTTTAAGTAACCATGTTCCTAGTGGCAGTATTTGTAGTGGAAGCAACCTCAATGACCATTGGTAGAGAAATAATTGAGTACGTTGAGGTATATCTAACCTTGGAATACAATGTACCTGTAAAAAAATATAAAGAACTTAGAACTATATCCATTAACTAAGGGGAATGTTCATTATGCATTAAGTGAGAAGACAAAGGGCAAGGAAATGTATATAATATGAATGCATTTTGTAAAAAAAAAAAAAAGAGAAATGGAAAATACAAACATTTGTATATGTTTGTATGACCGTGAATAAAGATATGTCTTTATCACTGAAAATTGAGGAGTCACGCTAGAGAGAAGAGGGGTTGAAAAGAAATATAAATCAATGAAAAAGGGGAAGTCACCCAAAATACAAACAAGCAAAAAAAAAAATAGCGAGTAGACACTATGCAATCCTTAACTATACATACTTGCAGGACTAGGGTGTAAAAACAGTTTACCTACAGGTTGTAGGCAGAAGACCCGACCCACTTCCAAAAAGACGCGTAGGTTGTACCTGGTGATTAGAATCTTTCATCCACACAGGTTTCTGGATGCTGCTGTTTGGAAATTCTATGGCAACTTGAACCTCCTATTCCCTTTATCTTGCTTCTCTCAGTACTCAGCATGGTGCTGTACACAGGTGGATGCTCAATAAATGGGCCACTATTGTGGCAGAGGACAAGGAAGCAGAGCAAGAGTGCTGAATGCAGACAAGCAGGGCAGGGGGCTGGGGGTCCCCATGTGGTCCAGTCCTCCCGTGGCTGGAGCTCAGGAAACAAAACAGAGCCTGCTGGGCTTTCTGCCTGGCGGCACCAGAAAGGGACAGAGGAAAGGCCATTCCTGGACACCCTCTCAATAGGTGTATTGATTCTTTGGACAAAAAGTGAATTTGGAGCTGGCAAAAGCTGTGTCCAGTGGCCTGAACAGAATGAGAGGGGTTGACCGAGCAGCATTTTTTTGGTCTGTGCTTTTGCCACAGGATGCAACAGCGCTGGCCTTGTTTCCAGGATGGGGAATCCTCCAGTTCTGGCATGCCTCTTCTGTGCACTGTGGTATTCAGTCCCAGGCCGGAGATGGAGATCTGACAAAAATGACTATTGGGTGAAGCAAAAACCATCTTTGTGAAGACAGCTGAGCTGTATGGGGACACTCTGCCTATGGCAACAGTGTTGGAGCCAAAACCTCCTCTTTCTATAGCATCGTTCCTACACATTCCCCCTCATCTCATTCCTCTCCCTCCTCCACTTTCTCTTTTGTGCAACGGTCTGAGCTCATTTGCTTGGATTCTTTTCATGGTCGATTTCAATTCAGCCATTAAACTGAATATCGTCTGAAGCGGAGGAGGAGAAGAAAGAACGCTATAAAAGAAGACAAATGAAACAGTGGGGAAAGCATGAGATGGCAAGTCCTTTCAAGTTATTACGCTGGAGAGACTAACGGTTAGTGATTTGCCTCTCTTGCTGGGGATGGTTCAGTCCTATGTTCTCTCTCCTTTGTTCTGGTCCACTTGCCTCCTGCTGCCCACTGAAGAGACATTCCTGTTAGGGAACTCTCGCTAGTGGCCAAAGTGGTGAATGAAAATGCAGGTCCAATTCCTTCAGATTCTACCAAAATTCATGCACAAGTGAACACGTAGTCAGACATACCCACATATGCTCCTGCATGGGTACACACATGCATGCTGGCACACATACACACATATACAACACACACATACACACATATACAACACATGCACACACACACACACACACAGTGCTATTATTGTTGGTGTCCCTAAGAGAATGAATTCTCTCACAATTGCCCAGTAGTATGGCACAAGGCAGGTGATGGATTAAAAGTTCTTAACTTGGGTAAAATAGAGATACAGTTTTGTGGCTTTGGGAAGATCTTTATCAGATTCTCAGTTCTAACCTCCTATGGTTGAATTCCAAACTACTTGCCAAATCTCCAACATCAGCACTCTGAGGTGGCTCAGCAGAAGCTGCCAGTTTTCAGTGGTGTCTGTGTTAGTTTCCTAGGGCTGCAATCACAAAATACCACAATCTGGGTGGCTTGAAACACTAGTAATTTATTCTTTCATGGTTCTGGAGGCTGGAGGGCAAAAATTGAGATGTTGGCAGAGCCATGCTCCCTCTGAAGGCTCTGAAGAATCTTTCCTTGCCTTTTCAATTTTCTGGTGGCTCCAGGCGTTCCTCGGCTTGTGGCTGCGTCACTCCAATCTCTGCCTCTGTCTTCATGTGGCCTCCTTTCTCTGTCTGCCCTCTCTTCTGTTTGTTATGAAACACTTGCTATTGGATTAGGGCCCACCTGGTTAATCCAGGATGGTCTAATCTTGAGATCCTTAACTTGATTTCATTTGCAAAGACCCTTTTTCTCAATAAGGTCACATTCACAGGTTCTGGAAGTTAGGACTTTGACATAATAGTTTGGGGGAGGGGGCACCATTTATCGTGCTACAATGTCCAAAAGCAAGATAAGAAATTCCCCTCATTTAAAACCCAGCTCTGGCTTACCATTGCACTTAGACTTAAATCATTGCTTACATGCCTTACCTGGAAAGGCTTCCATACCTTTCCATGATTTGTAAGACCTTGCCCATCTGGCCTTCTCCATAGCTCTCCACTGTCTCTTACTGTGCTCCAGCCACATGATTCTTCCTTCAGTTTCTCAAGCAGGCTAACTGCGTTTCTTCCTCTGGATTTTGTGCATACTGAAACCTCTGTCTGGAATTCCTTCACCCCTCCCTGTCATTGGGCATTCCTTCTGTAACCTCTCAGCTTAAATATGAGATTGGTGTAAAATTAATTGTGGTTTTTGCCATTACATTGAAAGTAATGGCAAAAACTTTCAAGTAATGGCGAAAACCACAATTACTTTTGCATCAATCTAATACCATCCCCTTTAACTATATGTAAGTAGGTCTTCGCATCATCCTCTATAGCAGCAACTCCTTGATTATTTCCTTCTCACCATTTACAATGATTTATTTATTAGTTTATTGTCCGACTCTAGACTAAGAGTTCACTGAGCTCTATCATCATGAACTATCTCTTAGCTGTATCATGGACTTTATTCATCTTGATCCCTGTTTTAGCCCCCAAATCTGGCACATAGTAAACAATAAATATGTGTTGAATAAATGAACGAATGAATGAACAAAAGATGCTCTTATTTTGGGAGATGCTCAGATGGTACCCATGATGGTGGCAGTACTTCATACACATATGAATTGCATCAAACACTGGGATCATTAAAGCATGAAGCCATTTCTTATTACACATCCCAGACTATCCTAACAGATTAACAATGTGTTCAGAGATTTCTGCTGTGTAATGGGTTAGTATTAGGTTGGAAGAAACACCTGAGGCAGCAAAAGTCAGACAGTGATGGGGCTCAGTCAAAGGCTGAAACTCTCCAACTCTTCCTGCTTCCCTTTGCCATCTTTCATAGGAAACGGAGGTTTGTGGTCTCTGTCCCCTAGAGCTACCCAGAAAGAACTGCATTAGCCCTCACAGAGAAGCATTCCTTTTCATCTGGTGCCCAGAAGAAACACGTGTGACAGGGTATGAAGTGGGACGTTTCCTGTTGCCTTAGGTTTTTGCTCAACACCCTAAAGGTGAGGACAGTAGATCCAAGCACCTCTGCTTCATAGGACAGCAGCCACGGGGCTGCCAAGATCCCATTTTAGGGACTAAGAATCACCAGGCTTATCTTGTAACCCTCACTCCACCAACTGTAGATGTAGCCCATTTAAGCAAAATCCTAGAATTCATGGAAGAAGAGAATTTGAGGAGTAATGAGGTAAAAGCCAAAGGGGAACCTCTAGAAGAGCAGGGTGAGAGAAGAAAGTGCAGGTCCAGGAGCCAAGGGTCAGGCTGGGCTGGTGGAGAGGGTAGGCTCAGAATGGGAGTTGGAGGAACATGAACATTCTAAAGCCAGAAAGTGAGTCCTAACTATTAAAATGGGACTGTTCTGAGTGGGACAGATGGCTAAAAGGATTTGCAGCTGAGAGGTTCTCAGGGCGAGGAGAGGAGGTATTTCAAAGAGTGTTTTTGAAAGCTGTGGTTTCGAAAGAAATTAAAAGCCACCTCCTTCTTGTTCCCCGTGGATTTTAGTCTATGCAGTAAACCAATTAGATGGATGAATAATAAGGTCTGACATTTTTAGTTTTATAAATATAATCATGATTAGCCTTTGCTGAACATTGGCATCAGGAGCTGTACTAAATGATTTATATACTTGGGGGTGTGCATGTATCTGCCTGTGTGCGTGTCTACACAGATGTACTGTGCCACACACATATAAGTTCTCATCAGCTCTCCTGACAACCTACTGAAGTAGGTATAGCTATTATCATCTCATTGTAGAGGGGCTAATGGAAGCGTAAGAGAGAAGACAATTTATCTAAAGTCACCCACTTAGTAAGTGGCAGAACTAGAATTTGAGCTCTGATCTTACTCCAGAGCCCCAAGATTTTAGCCACTCTGCTCTCCTATCATTGTCTATAAAAATGTATGCACATGGCTGGGAGTGGTGGCTCACACCTGTAATGCCAGCACTTTGGGAGGCCAAGGCAGGTGGATCACTTGAGGTCAGGAGTTCGAGACCAGCCTGGCCAACATGGTGAAACCCTATCTCTACTAAAAATACAAAAATTAGCCAGGTGGTGTTGCACATGCCTGTAATCCCAGCTACTTGGGAGGCTGAGGCAGGAGAATAGCTTGAACTCACGAGGCGGAAGTTGCAGTGAGCCGAGATTGGGCCACTGTACTCCACCCTGGGCAATAAGAGCGAGACTCCATCTCACACAAAAAAAGTATATATATATGTGTGTGTGTGTGTGTGTGTGTGTGTGTGTGTGTGTGTATGTATGTGTATATATATATGTATGTATGTATGTATATATATATGCACATATATATTCTGTTGGCTTGAAAGGGAGGATGAAGAGGGGATAATCTGGTTTCTTTAAGAAAAACACATAACTTATCATTGAGTTCTGTACAAAACATACTACTCTGCCTGAGGATTGCTTAGAAGCCTGAGAAGCTGGGAATGGGAGAGTGCAGACTGAGAGGATTTCTGGGGCCTGTCCAAGGTGCGAGTTTGTTTTTGCTCTGATTTGTGAAACAGAGCAGGAATCCATCCTGTCACTGTGTTCCCATTCATCACTGACGTCTGGGTCACACAGACTTTAAGGTGCTGAGGGAGATGCAGAGCAAAGAGCAGTCAGGAAAGCTGTGCTGGATGCTCCCCTGGATGGTGCTGGATGGTGACAAGGGCATTCTGGTTGTGGGGCAGGCTGCTGCTCTCTAGAAGTGGGATTTGGGGCAATGCATTTCACTTCACTGGGCTTCAGTTTTCTTTTCTGTGCAGTGAGGCAGTTGGGTTGGCTTCCCAGGTGCTGCCCAATTCTAAGTTCTGTGATTCTGTGAGACGATGGAAAATGGCTTGAGCAAGAAAGGAGTGAAGGCAGGAAATGAGCAAAGTGTGAATGAAGCATTTAAAGCAAAGAAGAACTAAAAGAAAGCAGAGTTAATCACTGACTTTCTTGCCTTGTTAGCATTCCTTCCTAAAGAAACCAATTCCGAAGAAAAAGCACATGTGTACCTCCTTGGTCAACTTGTAGCAGGAGCTAGGGAAGCAAAAGAAACTTAAAATAATCTTGCCATTAAACACAAGAGTCTGATCTCCAGAAGCACATGTGTTTGTTGCATCTTCAAGGAGACCCAGCATGCTTGGAAGACTGCCTGATAAATATGCCACATTGCTTTGCACAGGTTCAAACACATCCCTAATCATGTCAGCATTTTGATGCTTCCTGGGGCCCTACTCTTTCTCATTAGCATTTTCAGAAGGTTGTATGACTCAAATTTATTAGTTAGACCCTCCCCCTGTACCCGAATTGTGAGGGGCTGGAGACAGAAGAGACAGGGTAATGAACTTGGAGGACACTCACGCCCCAGCCACACATTCTTCTGGGAACTGGAAAAGTCTGTGTCTTCCGTTGTGAAAGCATGGGTGATGACCCCTTCAGACACTGTCTGTGGAGAGGCAGAGGTCACAGGCTGCAGAGTAGGGGGCATTCATCTGAAGGACCCTCGCTGCCAACTCTATCTCTGTCCTTGAAGAAACTTTTTTTGTTTTTTTGTTTTTTTTTTTTTTTTGCTTCTGTAGACACTTACAGGCACCCTGGTGAGTTGACCCCAGGGACTCATTTTATTTTGAGACCAGCTCCCTGGCTGTCACATTCACTTCAACTGAACTCCCTCCTTTCATGAGAATGACCTAGAGATGACCCTCCAAAGGAGACAGTGTGTCTCTGATGTTTGGCAGAACAGATAACTATAGTCTATTCTCAAGAATAGTGAAGAGAGATGGTGAAGAAATACAAGCACATGAGTGCCTCTGACTAGCTATTTAGATGTGGGACTAAAAACACTAATTTGATTTTAAAATGTTTATTGATACATAATAGATGTATATATTTTGGGGTTACATGATAAATTTATACATTCTTATAATTTGTAAAGATCATGTCAGTGTAATTGGAATAGCCTTCATCTTAAATATTTGTCTTTTCTTTATTTTGAAAATATGTAAATTATTTTCTTCTAGCTATTTTGAAAAAACAAAAACAAAAACACTGGTTTGAGAAAAGGTTAGATCAGAGCATGACAAGTTTTTGATGCTGTTTGTGAAGAAAGTGATGAGGAAACAAAAGGTTTTGAGTTAATAAGAATGGATGGCTCCTTCGGCCCAACCAATAGGTGGATCTGAAAATAGAGATAGAGGTTTTGGAAAATCTGCTTAAAGTAACCCTGGGATTGAGTGAGTCCTTAATAGAGGTGTCCGGAGTAAATTAAGTTGTTACTCTCGCCTAATCCGTACAAAGGTAGAAAATATATTGATCCTCTGTATAAGCAAACGCAGGTGCATCGGCATGAACTCATTCATACTACCCCCAAGCAAGTCATCTCTTTTACATGTAAAATGATTCAAAAGGGTTTTAGGATAAGTAATCTAGCGCTGTCAAGTAGGACGGGTCTGGGAGGACAGAATTAGCCAAGGAGATCTTTATAAGGTTCTTGTGGAGATTTAATATTTAGATACTGAGAACGTGGACCCATAATGGTGGCAATAGGGCTGGAGAAGAATTTGCTACAGATGACAAGGGCATAGAGCTATTGGTCTTGCAGAGAAGCTCCTCAATGAAAAAGAAAAAAGTTGGCAAAATGTGGAAAAAATATTTACCACAAATATGATGAACAAAAACAAATCTTTTAAATAGCTAAAAAGTGTATTCAAATGGCCAGAAAAGACACTGAGACCTCCAACAGCAATCTGGCAGAGGAAGTGGGGAGGGGGAGTTCACATAGAGAAAATACAAATGGGTTAATAAACCTGCAAAAATGTGGAACTTCACTAATAGTTAACATACTAAAATTTTAATCAGTGAATTTTTCAGCAATCACATTATTTGTTTAAATATGATAACATTTATACACTGATGGTGGGTGCCTTAGTTGCCATAACTTTTCTGAAAAGGAGCTTGCTGATATACATCAAAATATTTATTATTTTCAACTTTTGGTTTGCATTCTGCTTTTCAGTGAGTATCCTAAAGATATAATAGCCAAGTGAACACAGATTTATTTGTTTATCAAGATGGTGTTTGGAATAGCATGAGGAAGAAAGAGACGAGCCAATCAAGTGTCCAATGTTGGGGATTTGTGGAATAAATTATGGCATATCCTATCATATGATGAACTATTAGGAAATTCTTTAAAAATGTATTTTTAAAAGTGAAAATGTTTCTACATACTTTGGATACATACTTTCATGTAATGGTTGATATAGCTTTTTCACAGTATCATTGATTACAGTTATTTATATATAGACATATATGCTGTGATATATACATTTATACATCACATATATAACATATAAAAGTCATATTTATATATACATCACAGCATATACAGGTCTATATATGTGATAAAAAAATTGAATTCTCTATTTCTGTAATCTGTTATGTAAAGTAATGCACAAACACCATTACTAGCAAGGATAAACGGGGGAGAATGATAGGTCTTGCTGTTTTATGGATTATAATATGCCACCAAAAATTTTTACTCTGATATATCTTATTTCCAAAGCTAAACTGACAGATAGGAGGCCACTGTTCTGGACTAGCTATTGCAGTAAGTAATTTTGAGCAAATCATTTCATGTCCCTAAGCATCAGATTCCTCATCTTTGAAATGGAATCTATGATAACATATGGTATTCCCAGTTTTGGAGCTGTATTGCCTTAAACTTAACAGATCATAAAATGCTGACATAGCATTGTTTTCAATTTTTGACACCTGGCTGAGTAGAAAATATTTTGTATGGTTTCAATTTGCATTTCTTTGGTTACTAATAAGGTTGCAGCGATTTCATATATTTATTAGCAAATTGAAATTCTTCTGTGATTTCTGTTTTTTATGATTTGCAGGATTTCTTTATATATTCTGAATAGGAATTTTTGTTACGTAGGTTGTAAATACTTGATCAGTTTCTTAACTGTCCTTCAACTTTATCATACAGAAGTTTTCATCATATAGAGGTTTAAAATATTTATATATATAACCTTGCTTGTCTTTTTAAAAATTACTACAAAAAGAAATCCTGACCCCCAAATTACAAAAATATGCTGCTACATTTGTCTCATAATTATATCACTACATTTTATAGTTGTATAAATCTATAAATCTAGAACTCAAAGTGTGTTCCATGAACGAGCAGCACCATCACCTTAGAATTTTAGAAATGCACTCTCAGCTCTTACCTCAGGCCTCAGGTCTGCTATTTACAACATCTTCCTGTGCACACCAACGTTTGAGAGGTATTGGTCTAGGAAATAATTTTATTTGTGAGATAAAGATACAATATTATGTTTTGCTGCTTCTGTATCCAATTGACCCAACACTGTTTAGTTCTGCATTTCTTTGGATTGCAATTTTAGCCCTATACTCAATCCAAAGTCTCCCAAAGCTCATGTGGAGGAGGAGAATGTGTCTAGAGAGGTGAAATCATTTTTGTTCTTTTAGTACTCAGTAGGTCAAATAGAACACTCTAAAAACAGTGTCCGCCACGTGCATTAATTCTGCAGGCACACTTAGAGAAGACGAGAAGAGTGATTTGTTTGAGATGCATGTAGTTTAGGTTTGGGAAAATATTTGAATACACTCTGACAAGTGGGACAAAAGTTTCTCACATAAAGGTGACAATTTATACATTTTCTGAGTCATTTGCCATGTTTCCTTTTGGCTACAATTCAATAAGGGTTGTACAAGTGTACTGTTCTGTGGGGACCCTCTCCTTCTTTTTTTTTTTCTTTTTTCGAGATGGAGTCTTGCTCTGTTGCCAAGCTGTAGTGCAAGTGCAGTGGCATGATCTCGGCTCACTGTAACCTCCTCCTCCTGGGTTCAAGTGATTCTCCTGCCTCAGCCCCCCAAGTAACTGGTACTACAGGCATGTGCCACCACGTCCAGCTAATTTTTGTATTTTTAGTAGAGACGGGGTTTCATCATGTTGGCCAGGATGGTCTTGATCTCTTGACCTCGTGATCTACCTGCCTTGGCCCCACAAAGTGCTGGGATTACAGGCATGAGCCACCGCTCCCGCCCCCCTGACCTTCTTACACTGTTTTCTTGATATTGATAAAGCCTAAAAATCATGATGGATTCCTAGGTTAATTTTAAAGTGCAGACATAAATAATATGGACCCCAAACTAAGAAATATCTTGACAATGTAGCAGAGAACACACTGGCACTATTCTACTCTAAATAGGCGATGAATTAGGTTTCACAGAATTAGACACAATGTAAAAATCTTTAGAAATATAGAATTAACTATTAAATGAAATACAAAATAAATACTTTTTATTCCTAAATAATGGAAATATTTTGCTTTCCTGGAGACAAGTGCAAAAGAGAGCGTAGATTGTTTTCATTTTCATGTTTAGCCTGCAATAGGGTTTTATTTGTTGAAATTGCAAGTTTATATGCAAAAATGCTTTGTACATATGCAGTAAATCTAGTTTGCTGGTGGATCAAATTACTCAAGATGGAAAATGCAAATAAACCCAGGATTTTTGTTCATAGTTTGAAATTTTAGTTTTGTCACTTTGACATGTGAGGACAGCACTTGTGCCACCTCACCCACCACATAGGAGACGGGGGCGGGGGCATAATAGCTTCCTGAGACCACCATAACAAAGTGCCACAGATTGGCAGGGGCACAGATAGGGGGTACTTATGCAACAGAAATTTATTGTCTCATGGTTCTGGAGGCCAGAAGTCTGAGGCCAAGGTGACAATAGGGTTGGTTTCTTCTGAGGGCCAAGAGGGAAGGGTCTGTTCCAGGCCTCTCTCCTTGCTTGTAGGTAGCCGTCTTATTCTGTGTCTTCATATGGTCTTCCCTGTGTGTATGTTTGTGTCCTGTTTTTATAAAAAGCATCAGTCATATTGGATTAGGGCCTACCCTAATGACCTCATTTTAATTTAATTACCTGTTTAAAGAACGTATCTTTAAATATAGTTAAATTCTGAGGTACTTTTGGGGGTTAGGACTTCAACACATGACTTTTGGGGAGACACAATTCAGCAGTAACAGATGGTTCTCGGAAGGGCTGTGAACAGAGAGGCAGATTGCTTGAGTTAACCTTAGTCTTGCCACTAGCTGGTTCTCTTAGTCTTTTAGATCTCCGTGCTTCTGTTCCTGCATGATGTATGTTGATTCAGGCTAAGACTCAAAGACTGACATCAGTCTTATTAGTGAGCCATTTGATGATATTAGGTGTGTGCAGCCCAGACATCCCCATTTCCTGCAAAATTCTTTGGTCATCATTTAGTATCCAAATGAGATGGTTTGAATCTCTATCACATATGTTTCTGGAAGTATTCCTGATATTCCTTGGACTATCAGAGGAGCCTCAATCCTGGAAACCATCGGGAAGCAGCTGTCTTGCCTCCTGAGACTGCTCTCTTCTTGGATGGCCCTTTTCATGCAGGGCTCAATGCTGGTTCCTTCTCCCCAGTGTCCTAACAAAGGCTGTTGTGGAGAACAGAACTTTATTGGCAGCCTTAGGGGAGAGGAGGGGTTTGAGGCTGATAACAATGCAGTGTGCTACAAGAAAAATCTTTAATGAATTGTAGATTTCTGTGTCTTAAAGATTCCATGCCTTTTCTTAATTCGGGACATTTCTTACTGAGCCGTAATCTCCTACTTCAGCTTCTACTTATAACCCCTTTCTTCTCCTCTAGAACTTTCTTCTATTTCTCTTCCTTCCTCCTTTCCAGTTCCCTCATACACCTCAGCCCAGCCTCTCAAGCTGTCAATGAACAATCCTTAACATCCTGTTATTTTCATATGCAGACACACAACTCTTTTCCAGTTGCATCTTTGCTTTTAGGTGGCCCCTGGGAGAAGTGGAGTGGGGCTGGGGCTCACCTCTCTCAACCAAAGATCTGTCGAGAAATGTTCCAGCGGAGAGTCATCTCCTCCGCTGTGAATTATGCCACTAATAGATCAAAGCTGCTCAGTCTCTCTCTTAGTCCATTTTGTGCTGCTATGACATAATACCTGAGATTGGATAACTTATGAAGAACGGACATTTATTCCTTACAGCTCTGGAGGCTGGAAAGTCACCAGCAAGTTGAGTGTCTGGTAAGAACCCTCTTGCTTCATGGTGGTGGAGGTGAAAGGGCAAAAGGGGGAGCACGAATGCTGTGTCCTCACATGGCAGAAGAGCACTGAGAGTGAACTCTCTCCTGCAAGCTGCTTTCAGAATGACATTAATCCATTCATGAGGGTGGAGTCCTTTGGACCCAAACACCTCCCAAAAGGCCGGGTCTTCCAGCACCAACACTGGGGATTCGGTTTCCAACACATGAATTTTGGGGAACACATTCAGACCATAGCAGTCTGTTTTGTTTAAAACCAGATCCTCTCCTTTTATCCCATCCTCCTTTCAGTTACACTTTATGCAGTAGCATTAGGAATCAATATTTATTTATTTATTTTTATTTATTTATTTTTGAGACTTGGTCTCACTCTATCGCCCAGGCTGGATTGTAGTGGCACTATCTCGGCTCATGCAACCTCCGCTTCCTGGGTTCAAGAGATTCTTGTGCCTCAGCCTCCCAAGAAGATGGGATTAGAGGCACCCACCACCACGCCCAGCTAATTTTTGTATTTTTAGTAGAGATGGCGTTTCACCAAGTTGGCCAGGCTGGTCTCAAACTCCTGACCTCAAGTGATTTGCCCACCTTGGCCTCTCAAAGTGCTGGGATTATAGGTGTGAGACACCATGCTGGGCCAGAAATCACTCTTTAATCTGTAATGTAGATGAATAGTAGCTTTGATTACGTACTGGTATTGTGTACCATGGATATCATGGTACACAAAAAAGAAGGCATACTTTGTTGTACTGGTTGTATACTACCAATGATTAGTTAAGCAGAAAAGCATTATAGGGCCGTCTACTTGATTTCCTCTCAATTGAAGATGATATGGGTCAGGGAAGAAATAGCCCACTTCATGCTCATTACTGGTGGAAGATGTCAACTCCTTTTTTCCTATTAAAGAAAAATACAGCTCCGAATCTCCTGAAAACCCTCTACAGCTGGGCTAATGTTTTAGCATCTTCACCTTGCCAGGCCTTTCTGTAGTCAGTGCTGTATATCTCAACAGACCCAGGGGACACAGAGGAGCTTAGTGGCAAGAACACACACTCTAGAGGCAGAAAGTTTGGGTTTCAGCGCTTAATTTGTGACTTGGGTTCTGTGACCCTGGGAAAGTCACTTATACTCTCCAAGGTCCAATTCCCTTACCTATAACATGGGGAGGAATCCTGCTCACATTCCCGTAGGATCAAGTGAAATTTCATTACCTAGAAGAACTTTTTGGCTAGAAAGACTTGAAGCCAAGGCCAAACTAGGTAACTGCTGTACAGGCCTCAGATGTGCTTGGGCATGTCTGGAGGTTTAACTGGCAGATTGGCCAGTCTGGGTTTGCCTGATAAGCTCAGGGGAGGCACAATGAGTGGTTTGATTGAATCGGACAATTGGTTCCCGAGAGTAACAGTTGGTGCCATGTGTAATGGGGAGCTAGAAAAAAGATGCTCATTCTGAGTCCAGGAATGCTGGTTGAAAGGAAGAGAGCAATCATTGTGAGTACAGATGAAAAGTGTCTTCATATTGCCTTGCAACTCAGTCTCGAAGAACCTTCACCATATTCCTTGAGAGACGGGAACTGGTGTGAGGAGGAAAAGAGGCATCCCTGGAGATGCCCTAGGGTGCTAGGAGTGAAAGCAGTTCCCCTGTAAGACCTAGTAACTCTGGGCAATGCAGAATGTTAGCAGGGTGATGCTAGCTGCTGTGTTGGGGTGGACTTAGGTTAAGTGGGGCCTAAAGATTATATTAATAAAATGTTGCAGACTTTCTTTGAGAAAAGAATGCACAATTACAAATATAAAATTTGATATGAAAGCGAATATTTCTTTAGAATATTACAATAAATCACAATAAATTACATTAAAAATCTGACAAATATCACAAAGCTCAGAAATCATATATTTTATTAATGATATGATGTACCTCTCCAATACCTTTTTTCTCCCTTTCTTTGTTGGCATGCCTTTTGATCATCTCTTCATATGACAATGATTTTAAAATATCAGTTTCTTTAGAGAGAATGAAAACATAATTTGGCCTTTCTTTTAAGATGGTTAATCAAAATCAATTCTTAATTATTGATTGTTAGAATGAATAAATGAATGAAAATGCAATGCAAACAATGTGCTCTTTGTAGCATTCCTACAGCAGGTGCTCAACAAACACAAAAATTCTGAAAAATTATATTTTGAGTGATTCTTGTAAGAAACAGAGAGACAATCTTTGTTTTTACTAGGTTTGATGAGAGCCAAATTCCCTGCTTACATGTTTACATGTCTTATGATTACAAGATATTTCCACAAAGAAGCTTCCGACATGCTACCTTTCACACTTTATTCTTTCCTACTACCTACCCCTCTGGTGCAAGGTACCATAGGACCTGTGCATGTTGAGTTAAACCTTCTGGTCTTGCTCCTTCACATCTGGATGTCAGGTGAATTGGCACGAAAGGCAGTAGAAGAATTCCTGGAAGCCATTTCTCTGCTGGTACAGCTAGAGTAATAACTTAACTGTATCTGGAAGAGATTTTGATCTAGATGAATAGATCCCATTAAAAATCTAAAATAAACTTCCCTTAACCAGATTCCAAAAATGCCCCTGGCCACTACCAGAGCACATTGCCAGGGCCTTTTCTATGTTCTTTGAAAGGACCCTTCACTTGAACGGTCCTGAAACTTATGCTTCACTATATGCCTCTGGCTGTAACAGATAAACTACCCAATTTCAGTGGCCTAGCACAATAGTTTATATTTTGTTCATATGAAGACCCATTGGTGGGTGGCAGTAGTGGTATTGAGCAGGGTGGTGGGATGATAGGTGGTAAGGGAGACCTTGCTCAGTCACGTAGGAACCCAGGCTGAGAGACGTTCTGGCATCTTCAATATGTGGCCTCCAAAGTTGCCCCAGGCACTGACAACCAGGAAGAGAAAAAGAAGGCAGGGAATCATGGAGGCCTTATGGGCCAGGCCAGGAAGTGGTGACCATCACTTCCTCCCACAGTCTATTGGCTGGAACTCAATCACATGGCCATGCAATCGCAAAGGAGGCTGGGAAATGTAGTATAACTGTGTGCTGTGGGGAAAGAGGAAATGGTTCTGGTGAATCATAGTAGTCTCTGACACAGGAGGGGATGAAACTTTCCTTCAGTTGGGACTGGAGTGACACGAGTATGGCAAGACAACAGTGTTAGAGCCATAGGAAGCAAGCTGAAAGGTCATCATATGTTCACAAAAAACTCCCAGTATCTTTTTGAACCAGAGAAGGCATATGAGGCTGTGGTACCAAGGATGTGTCCTGTTTGTTGACAGAGACTATTGTTTTGTAACTGGAATTTTTACGCTTTGTGCCCCCACCCTACTGCGGTTTTTGGAAACCAGCCAAAAGGATGATGGTAATGACTATGAGTAAAAGGAGATGTCTAGGGATAAATTTGAACAGTCCAATCACTAAATTCTACCTATTGCCATTCACTGAAGGGGCTTCCAATGGTTGCTTTTATTTTACTCTGAGTTCCAGTACAGAACATGTCTCATTTATTTTCGGGTCCCAGTGTCTAGCACAGTGTTATTTTATTGGGTTATTGGAAAGAATACTCCTTTTACTCCTAAATACATAAGGATTTTATAAGTGCATAATACTTTTTGATATATAATATTGTTCAAAGCCTTGACAGAATAGATTTTAATGCCCAAGTTTAATGAATTATGCTTATCCTGATCCACAATTCCCAGATACTCAATATTAATTGAACTTGGGTTCATGTTTTAAGATCGATTCTTTCCATTAGACCTTTTCTACAACAATTAAAGAAAAACATAAGTCTTGTTTATAAACATATTTTCTTGGCTTTCTTGGCATGTGGAAATTCTCTAAATCAATTGGACAAGGTAAGTCCTTCATGTCTTCTGGCAAATGGAAAATTGCTTTTCCCTTGAAGCTCTTTTCTCCATGTAAGCTAAAAATCCATTAGTAAATTAGGCTTTGCTGACTCCATGCATTGATATTTGATCCTTGGAACCTCTCAAGAAAAATCAATGTGTGGCTTTTCAGTTAATTAACATAATGTTAATATAACACATGATGCCAGCATAGCTGGAATACTCATTCTTAGTGTTCTGCTTGAGCTGAGTGAGCAGAGAGGGTCGATATTTTCCAGAAGAGAGCGGATCCAGACTACTCAAGAGGGACTGGCATGGGACTACTCTTAGGTTAGATAGCATCTGTCTGCTTTCCTGATGAGGTTTGCTAAGGCCGGAAGAAAAGAGGCTGGAATAAATTTAAAATGAAAAGGTGGAGGATTCAAATTCTGTCCATGAAAGGGCAGTTAGTGGCAGCAATGGAATCTGACTGAGACAACAGATTCAAATTAAGCCCTCTTAGCCATGAGTTTGAAATAGGATGTGATGAGGAAGCGGGGGCTGTTGCACGTATGACTTGGACAGTTCTCTCTGGTTAGCAGATGTAACCATAAAAAATAACCACCCAGAACTGGGGCCCAATTCTCAGACATGCAGATAGTTTCCTTCATCTCCTCTGCCTTTAAAAACATTGGTGGTTCACGCCTGTAATCCCAGCACTTTGGGATGCTGAGGCAGGTGGATCACAAGGTCAGGAGATCAAGAACATCTTGGCTAACACAGTGAAACTCCGTTTCTACTAAAAATACAAAAAATTAGCTGGGCATGGTGGCGGATGCCTGTAGTCCCAGCTGCTCGGGAGGCTGAGGCAGGAGAATGGCGCGAACCCGGGAGGTGGAGCTTGCAGTGAGCCGAGATCGCGCCACTGCACTCCAGCCTGGGTGACAGAGCAAGACTCCGTCTCAAAACAAAACAAAACAAAACAAAAAAACATTTTAAACTGTGGTGAAATACACATAACATAAAAGTTACCATTTTAACCATTTATAAGTATGTAGTTCAGTAGCATTAAGTACATTCATATTGTTGTGCAATCATTACCACCTCTCATTTCCAGAACTCTTTTTATCTTACAAAACTGAAATTCTGCACCCATTAAACAACAACTCCCAAATTCCCCTTCCTCCAGCTGCTAGTAACCACCATTCTACTTTCTATCTCTATGAATTTGACTACCTTATGTACCTCATGTCAGTGAATTCTACAGTATTCGTCCTTTTGTGGCTGGCTTATTCCCCTTAGCATAATGACCTCAAAGTTCAGTCATGTTGTAGCATGTATCAGAATTTCTTTCTTTTTAAGGCTGAATGATATTCTATTGTATGTATATAGTATGCTTTCTTTATCCATTGTTTTGTTATTTCCAGCTTTTGGCTATTGTGAGTAATGCTGCTATGAACACGGGTGTACAAATATCTCTTCAAGTACCTGCTTTTGATCCTTCTGGATCTGTAATTGTTGAATCATATGGTAATTCTATGTTTAATTTTTTTGAGTAACTTCCATACCATTTTCCTTAGTGGCTGTACCACTTTGCATTCTCACCAATAGTGAATAAAGTTTCCAATTTCTCCACATCCCTGCTTATTCTTTTCTTTCTTCCTTTCTTTCTTTCCTTCCCTTCCCTTCCCTTCCTTCCTTCCGTCTCTCTTTCTCTTTCTTTCTTTCTTTCTTTCTTTCTTCCTTCCTTCCTTCCTTCCTTCCTTCCTTCCTTCCTTCCTTCCTTCTCTCTCTCTCTCTCTTTCTTTCTTCTTCTTTCTCTTTTTTTTTGATAGTAGCAATCCTAATGGATGTGAGGTGGTAGCTTATTGTGTGGTTTTGGTTTGTATTTCCCTAATGATTAGCGATGTTGAGCAACTTTTCATATGTTTATGGCAAGTTGTCTATCTTCTTTGGAGACATGTCTATTTAAACTTTTTGCCCATTTTTAAATTGAGTTTTGCTGTTGTTGTGGCATCCTTCCTCCCCCTTTAAAGATGAGGTGTTCCGTACGACTCTGGTTTTGTCTTCAGTCAATCTTGTTCATGGCACTAACACTTGCCATTTGATCTCAGTTTGTTTTGAGGCAGTGATTTTTGAATTGTGCTCTCCTGAACCCTGAGGAGTTGATAGGAGCCTGGGACAACTGGGAGGAGAGAAGGTGAGGGGTGGTGGTGAAGTGGGGATGTGTTTAGCTTGGTCCAGCTAAAACAACTCTTATTTTTACCTGGCCTGCCTATTGAGACTCCCATCTATGATGGCTTTTAATGTTTTCTGTGCAAGAAAAACTGTCCAAAACACTTGTCACAGGGACGAATTTGGCTTTAATTACCTCTCTCAGCTCCACTTTGTTTAAAAACAAGAACTGCCACTGTGTGCTTTGAATTGTTTTCCCAGAAGTGAGTTGAGGGAAGCATCGTTCCGTTTGCTTCTGTAAATAATTGTGGAGTGCCCACTAGGTATCAGGCACTGTGTTGATTTCCATGGAGTTGCTCATGGCTGGCTGGCTTGAGGGTACAATCTGTGACCTTGGGTTGGGTAAAGGGGGATTGGGACCAGAATGTAATCCTAGCCTCATGTGCTTGATGCTGGAGCCCCTGGACCCGCCCAGGTTCAGAATCCAGAATGGGGCCAGGCCAGTAGATTCCCTCTTGCCCAACCCAGCCTCCTGCAGGGGACCCACGTGGTTGGTCAAGGGCAGCGGCTGGGTCCAGACACTGCCTGCTGACACCATTTACTCTCTCCACCAGCACCTCTCCAAACCCCCTCTCTTTCCCACAACCGTTTCCCCCTGCTCTCCTCCAAATCTCACGCACCATCTGCCGTGACTAGTGTTCTCATTCACCTTTTCCTGCTTATCTCCTCTTCAGCAGGAAAGTGCTTCGGAGGCTGACAGCCTAATCTCTCCGCTGATCCTGTGTTTCTGAATTCATCATCCCGCCCCTCAGGCTGCTGCACCCGCTGCTGCCTCCCCTGAGTTGCTGCCCAGGCTCAGCAGGAGGAGGAGGAAGATGAGGCTGCACCAGATGCCCCCCACTCTTCCCCCTAGAGAAAGAAAGAAGAAAAAAGAAAAAGAAAAAGGGTGGGGGAGCAAGGGAGTCATCCAGGGCACAGGGAAAGAGGCTGTGGACAGGCCTTGTGGTTCTGGCGGTGGCTGAAAGAAGGGCCTTCTGTTCCCGGGCTTCTGGGAAGGAAGCTGCTCACTGCTGCCTCGGTTCTGAGACCTGCCCTTTCTGGTTTCCAGTTACCACTGAGCAAGGTCTACTGGAGAGTAAGCTTTCTACATTGCTAGTCCGATGGTAGCTGTGAAAGATGTTTCCTTTTTTTGTTTTTTAAATTGTCTTTAAATTGAGAGAAGCTGGGGCTTTATCACCTAGTAAGAGGGGAGGAAATCCAGTTGCAAAACAATACCTTAAAACATAGACTATGACTTACAAAGTGAGGCCATTGAAGTGTACGGTGCTACCACAAAATTTTTTAAATGCACGATTTTCATTTTTATTCTACCTCAAACACACAATTTTCATTTTTATTCTACCTCAAACAGTCTCCACCACTCTGTCCCTCCATGGCCCCTGCACCATGGGGATGTAGGTTCTGCTTCATATACTACCATTAATAACACCTCCAACCCTTTAACATTTCCAGAACAGTCTCTGTTTATTTCCTCTTTCATATGCATGCACAAGTTCTTCCTATATGCTTTCTTCCCTTCCAAACCTGGCAGATAGGCTGGACCTATTTTTCTTTGTTTGCTCATTTTAGTATCCTGGAGTATCAAATAAGTATGCTTCAAGCACAATATTGAACTGCTGAGGAGAGCACTTTGGGGAAATGAAACTCAGGTAATATGTCCACTCTCTGGAAAGGGGAAATTATGATAAAGTGCTAGAGTTTTGTCACTGTTACTGAACTAGCATGTCTTGGAAGGAAGTAAATTGTCATTATTGCAGCTGTTCTCTTCTTGCTCCTCTATCCCCAGCCCCAACATAGATCAGGTAATAAAATAAAATTTCTGGAACAAATGGAAGAAAAAACTGTGTGGTTGCAGGGTGGGAGGTGCAGCTGATAAAATAATGCCATTGTGCCCAAACTTTTTGTTACCTTTTTAAAAGCTGCTTTCTAGGGCAGCTGCATATCACTTGCTCCCATTCAATGCTTTGAGCTGCAAAAGTTTCACTTTGTAAGGACACTCTACAGTAAGTGGTTTTGTCCAGTTGATCCACTGAGCAGGTAAGGATTGATTTTAGAACACTGGTGTTTTAGAGACTTCTTGCAGCATTTTCTTCTTGTGATGACATGAATGTCATTCAAGAGCCACAGGATAACACAGCTGTAGGGAGGGAAGGGACTTGAAAAATCTCGGTCATAAATGCCATAATTAGCAAACAGCGTCTCATAATGGCAATAGGAGGGTCCCAATTTTTGTTCAGCTTCATTCCTGGGAAGAAGCAATAATAAAGCAAACTCTGGCCAGAGGAAAAGTTATAAGGTCCACAGAACATGTCAAAAGACAAAGGCAAGAAGTTTGGTAGTTTCTTATAATGTTAAACCTATACCTTCTCTATGATTCACTAAAGCCACTGGTGTATTTACTCAAGATAAATTTACTCAAGTATTTACTCAAAATAAATAAAAATATATGTCCACCAAAATACTTTTATAAGAATGTCCATCATAGCTTTATTCATAGTAACCCAAGACAGGAAATGTCCATCAACAGAAGAATGGATAAATAAATTATATTTATGTAATGGCATACTTACTATTCAATAATAAAAGGAAACAAACTGTAGCTATAGGTAATATCGTGGATGACTCACAGAAATTATGTGTGTGAAAGAAAACAGACACAAATGAGTACATATGGTATGATTCCATTTATGTGAAGTTCTAAACCACACAAAACCAATCATTAAGGATAAAAATCAGACGAGTGATTTCTTCTGGTGGGGAGGGGGTAGGATTGACTGAGAGGCCGCATGAAGGAACTTTCTAGGGTGAGGGAACTATTCCATATCTTGATAGAGTGTAGGAAACATGGGATTTATATTTCTCAAAACTCATCAAAACCTGTTGAACTAAAAATTCAGGGTTTTGCACTTCACAGAATATACATTTTACCTCAAAATTTAACAAAACCATAAACAAATATTTTTATAAATTAGTATATAAATTAGCAGCAAATGTGGGTGCAGTGTTCCACAACTGGAGGGTCTCTCGTGAATTCCTGGTGCTGTATCTGTGAATCTCAGATCTGGCCACATGTTAGATTTACCTGTGAAGTTTGTATTCACAGAGTCCCAGTCTGTGAATTCTGACTCCAGAGGTTTGTGAAGTTGTCCAGGAATCTGGGTTTCAGAGTAAATTCCAGGGTTTCTTAAGGCATATCTTAGAAGGGAGAGAATTCATAATAGTGAATTGTAATAGAGAATTAGATAATAGCTGATTTTTTTTCTTTTTCTTGTTTATTCTCTACCACACCTCTGAGACAAGCAGTTGGTGTTTTTTAAAAGGCTGCAATAATAGCTGGTCAAGATGCTATCTGACATTTTTGAGTTGTGACACTGATGAATAAAAAGATAAGTTTTTTTTTAATTCGAATCTATGTGTAGCTTTATAAGAGAAGTAGGTGTAAAGTGAAGATAGAGGAAAGAAACATAATGAGGCTCTAGGGTGTACCAGGAATGGTGTTAGGCATTTTGATATAGATAATTTCATTTAAATTTTCTAAGAAGCACATTTATCATTGATGATGCATTTCCACTGCAATCACCATAGTCCAGGCTCTTGGCTATTAACAGTCATGCCTTTTATGCTCCAGCAAAACCGACTTCATTGCAAATCTCTTAATAGGCAAGGCTATTTCAGGGCCCTAGGTCTTTGCAATTTTGGGGATGCTTTTCCTCCTAATCTGTCAGATGTATTTCTATTCATCTTTGAGGCTCCAGCTTATGTATCCCATATTATATGCAGTCCTTCCTGCTCCTTCTCTTACCCTGTAGGAGAAATCTCATTCCTCTTCAAATAGCAATTGTACCTGCTGTCCTAGGATTTGTACCGAAGTAGGACTTGCAGTTCTCTTACATGAATTAGAGTTACTCACCGGTAACTGATTTAATGCTAAATCTACTTGAATGGAGAAGAGCACTACAAATAAATATTTTGGCAGTCAAATGCAGGTTTGCACATGACTGCATTCTACTTTTAGTATTACATTTATCACATGCCATTATAATTTTTTATATACATTTCCTTCTCTCTCACTAGACACTGTATCTCCTTAAAGATGGAACCATGTCTTATTCATCCCCCAGAACCTGGTACAAAACCTAGCACCTAATCAGTGCCGAATCAATTATTGTTGAATAAGTGAATGGATAAGTGTGTTTTCTTAAGTCTGGCTTGTATCCAGATAAATGTTCAGTAACTACCCAGTGATCTCAAGATAAAATATAAACCCTCAAAATGGATTTCAAGAATATCATTGTCCTCTGCCCTATCCCACCTCTAGCTCCAGCTGATCTTATGGGCTAATAGTTACTAAATTAAATCTCCTGGCCACGATATATTGATCTATTTCTTGAATATCATGCACTAATTTTTTCCTCCATGCCCTTGGTTAAATTGCTCTTTGCTTCACGATATAATGAAAAAAGCATGTCTGAAGAGCCAAGAGCGTGTCTTGGTTCCCACCCTGTTAGCTGTGTGACTTTGGTCAAATGACTTTACAGCTCTGAGTCTTCGTTTTTTCTCATTTATGAAATGGGATAATATCTGGGATAGCATATGTAGATTGCTCTGGAAGCTGCATAGAGCTATATGAATATTATTTTTCTGCATATCCTTCGCTGTGAAGTTTAAGGTCCAAGTCCTCTTTGAAGTTAGGGAAGCTACTTTTTCCCCCAAACTTCTATGTAACTCATTGCTGAACCACTAACTATAGCACTTCAACATATACTATTATTATTAACAGTCTCATTTGTACCCTTTCTTTCTCTTGTACTGAATTGGGAATCCTTTAAGGGTAAGAGCAGGGGACTTGTGTTACCCTTCTTTTCATGTCCCTGATCACTTAGGAAAGCAGAACAATATTAAGTTGTATTAATATTAAATTGTCTTAAATAAGGAGGATGGAAAATATATTTAGAATTATAGGGTTTTGGAGTGATAAATTCTTAAAGATAATTTTATACAACCTTTTTATAAAAACTGTAACATACATGTTATGTGTCTTTTCTAAGGTTACAGTGAATAATACTAGCTGATTTTTTTGTCAACATCTAGACACTATGCCACATAATAAAAATGAGTGATATAATTTAATGAAACTGGAGTTACTATCATCCCAGTTTTATGGATAAAAAAGATGTTGCTCAGAAGCTGAGATTCAAACCCAGGTACATTTTTCCAGAGCCTCTACCTTTAAACCTGCATTTGGCACAGAAGGTTTCTGATTCCCATACCAGTGCTCCTCCTGCTATATCAAAAACTGTTATCTCTTCTCAATGACAGTGGTTCTTCAAGTGTAGCCCCAGACCAGCAGCATCAGTGTCACCCAGGAACTTGTTACACACCCAGATTCTTGGGTGCTAACCAGACCGCTGAATCTGAGGCCTTGGGGGTGGAGCTCAACAACACATGCTTTAACAAGCTCTCCTGATTCTCACGTTCAAGCTTGAAAAACCTGGCTTTAGGTTAAATGCGGTATTTTTCTTTTTGCTTCTTACATTGGTCATTTCATTGCTTAACAGATTTTTATATTATATACTTTTATAACAGGAGTGAGAAAATATGCATCTCTCTATCAGTAATCAATGATTTCTGTATTTTGCGTATGAAACTTCATTTTAAACAAAGAGAGCTCACAAACTTGAAATTTGCCACCATGCATCTTAAAATTTAAGTATCTTAACTAGTTTCATGACTTTTCTTGTTTTTACATTTATTTTTATATTTTTACTTGACTGAATTGTATGGAACAATTCACATTTTACCTGCAGAGTGCCTGGAATTCTTAACAAAAATTGCATCTTCTCTACCTCCTACCCAAGAGTTTCTATTCTGATTAGAACCATTTAGAGGGCATTACAACTAAAAACAGAGTAAAAATGCTCTTTATTAGAATATGGGCCAGATTTAATCCTAAACATGTTATATATAATACATAATAATTAGGGAAGAAACCCAGACTTTTTTTTTTACATAATGCTTACCTATAGACTGACAAAAATGTTACCTTAGCCAATATTCATAAGCTTAGTTCATATGAAAATGACAAGAACAAGGGTTAAATGTCTTAATGTGATTTCTTCAGAGAAGTCATTAAAAATTATGGTGGTGATTTTTCCAGAATGTATTAAAGTGCAAATATAAACTCGTGACTATCATGAGAGTGGTATGTGCTGTTTGTCATTAATGTATTTTTAATATTACTTAAAATGGGTAGCTAAGTTAAGGAACAGTCTATCCTATTTTTGTTAATAACCTTAGAAGGGTGACAGTTTAACATTCCTACCGCTGATGATTTTATTCCAGTCAAAAGAGTACACCAAAGGACCAAAGGACTCTAAATCCTTTGGGACATGTTAAACATCCAAAATTTTTGACTTTTGGGCTCCAGAGAATAGGAGGTTAATGACTCCATTTTTCACAGAAGGAAAAATGTAAAAGAAAAAAAAATTGATGGTTGTTGGAATGTCACCTTTAAGATTTCAAATCACAACAAGTTTTATGTGTAATGAGATTTTCTTAGTTTGAGGAAAGGATGGCTAGTTTCTTGAATACTCTAAGATATTAGCTGGGGAGTATTTATACAGAGACTGTAAATGAAATAAACAAGTTTCTAATCTCATTTTGCACAGAACAACTTGTACTGTACTTTTAAGGAATAAAGTTAGTGTAAATATTATATGTTTTATATAAAGGTAATAATTGTTGATGTGCTTAGAAATTCATTTGGAATAATACATATATTTTTATCTTCTAAAGAAAAAAACAGTCATGATTGTTTACCAGGGATTGAACTTTGAATTGTTTTCTGAAAAGTAATGCATTATAAGGTCATACTAAGAATTAAGCATGACACATAGGTAGGACTTCGGGTTAATTCAATAGAATTTTAGAGTTGTAAAGGCTGTTGGTTGACATATAGTTTAACTCCCATCTAACCCTACATCTTTTTAGTATAATCTCTGCTAGAATGTTTTTCAACTACTGTTTGAATACCTTCCCCCAGAAATAAAAAGGCAACTGATTCTATTAGATAATTGGATTCCACCTTCTTCTCTCTTCCACTTATTGGCACAAGTTCTGTCTGCTGAAACCACTCTGAAAGGCCTAGCCTCTTAATTCTAGTCACCAACATCAGGATCATCTCTAGTTGGTGAATGTCCCTCTTCAAATGAAGTTTTTAGAGCAAACATAATTAATACAGCTGCTGTCTTAAAGCAATGCAGCCTGTGGCAGGACTAACAATGATCCACCCTGCAGAGCTAGTTGTCAGACATATATTTATCTTTTTTGTAATATATTTTTCTTTTTAAATCAGGTTTATTGAGGTATAATTTACATAAACTGGAATTCACCCTCTATAATATAGAGTCCTGTGACTTCTCTTGAATGCATACGGTTGTGCCACCATCATGGTAATCAAGGTATAGAACAGTTTCCCCACGGTCCTTGTGCCCCTTTGTAGGCAACTCTACCCTCAGTCCTCATTCTCAGCCCCTGGCAATCACTAACATATTGTCTGTTTTTTATAGTTTTGTCTTTTCTTCTTCTATCACATCTTTATTGCTCAAGTGCAATGTTATTTTAGTTATGAGGGTCTGCATCAGGACTACATGATGTGCGTGCAAATTTATGGAGTACAGAAATTTTTTAAATGATGAGAAAAAAATTAATGGATGAGAATTTGAAAAGGCAGGAAAGGGTTTAAAAACAAAAAAGAAAGAACAAAAGAAGGGCCTGTAGTTGTGATAGAAGTGCCTTGGATGTTGATGTCCAACATCTGTTTGGAAATCTAATTTGCCATTGTGATGAGGTAACCCATTAGAGGGATGGGAAACCTGTGAGAACGTGCAGCTAGTTTCACAGAGGGAGCAGTAAGTCTCCAAAGCCTCAGTACTCAAGAATAGTTAGAAAGAAGGGTTATGTATCCTTTACCATAATAGCGACTACTGTCCGAGGTGCTGAATCTCTATTGCATGTTAGGGCATATATCTTAGTTTCAGATTCTGGTGACTTCTATCCAATCTCTCTGGGAAATTCAGATCCAGGTGAGATCTGAATAGGATTTTGTTGGACAGAATCTAATGTGGGTTTGGGACACTGACTTTTGTAGAAACACTTTCAGAAAATAAAAGATATTTGTTTGAAAATAATTTTCAAATAATTGCAGTTGCTTTGAAAACCTTTTTTTTTCCTGGCCAGTTAGGAAGGTATATTCCCTCCTCTATTTTTCCAACCCCACCCATTTTTGTGCTTCATGATTTGCTTCTCAGGTTGGGTTAGTTGTAACTTTCTTCCTGGGTTTAATCCTCTGTGGAAGGTGCTCAGAGCTGAGAGTCCTGAGGTTTGAGTTCTGGTCTCAGCTATGCCCCAACTAGCTAGCTAACTACCTATTGCTTCCCAGAGAATAGGAGTAGGTTTGTCAGAGCCAGCAAATAAAAATACAAGATTCTCAGTTAAATTTGAATTCCAGAGAAACAATGAAGACTTTTAAAGTTATGAATGTTTTACAATAAGTTGTTAAAATATCCTGAAATATAAAAATGTTTATAAAATGTTAAATAATTGCATTGTTTAAAAAGGTGTTTTTCATTTGTCGGTGGCTTCTAGTGATTTGGGAGAATGAATATTAGTATATAACCCTTGTCAAAGGGTAATTTTTAATATTCAAATATTAAAGGTAGCTTGAATCTGTGAAACCACCAGACTGTACTGGGTTCCTGTATTTGAAGGTGGGAAGGGGATCCACACAAGACAGTGTCCACCTGGATGTCCCCTGGAGTGCTTCTGGGGTTGTTACTATTTAAGGTGATGGCACTCTTCCCAGTTCAAGTGAATGATATTTTCTGTGGTTTTTCAAATGCCTTTTCTTTTACTTATCTTTTTCTGTTTGCTTATCGCTCATTTTGGCCTCCCATTTGTGTTTTAAATCTTCACTGTTTATTTTAATTCAGAATGTCATCTCATGAAAAATAGATTTTTTATTCTAGGCCCTGGACAGAGCATTGCTGATTTTTATTTATTTATCCATCTTTTTCCTGCTTTAGGGAAAACACAAGTATTTAAAATGTATTGTTGTCTGCATCTGTGAGTAGATAAATTTAGTGCTTATTTGTGATGGTGCTGTAGTGTAGTTTCTTACTCTCAATTTTGCCAACACCAATTATTTGGCTACAATCTTGAGCATATTATCTATACTATGTGTATACCTACAGAGTCTTACTAGGCATTTAAGATGAATGAGAGTAGAATGAACAATGGAAATGGACATTAGATAATTATGGTTAATTCTTACCAAGAGTAAATGTAACTTCAGGTTTTAGCTTTTTAGAAAATGGCTGTATTAAAAATTTTATAAGTTCATCTGTCCATCAAAAATCTAGTGAGTACAGATCAGAATAACAGATTAATGTTAAACATTATTTCTGAGTGGCAGCAAATTTTGTTCTAGATGGAGCTGATGTCTCATACATGTGTGACTGACAGGTTCATAATGGCACAGTACATTTACTCTCCCACTCCTCTCCCGTGTGGATTAAAAAAGAATCATTTACAATAAAGGTAGTCACATTTCCGATAACTTACTGTTAACTCATCATGTAATGGCAAGTTCTTTCAATGAATAGTCAAGCAATATATTTTGTGTTGATTTACTCTTGGTGATGCCTCTGGCTCTCCAGACCATTAGGTGTTAACTAATTAAGGTAAGTCACAGAAATGAGATTATGGTTTTCTGAGCATGGATAACTTAACTCAATATTTTAGTGAACAGAACCAGCTGATAAAAATTGGTCTTGTTATTGTCACCTGGCATTTATGGCCCCCCAAACTGGGCATTGCTGGATCTGTGAAGGTCATAGCAGGGGGCTATTCCTCAAGAGGAAGCTCAAAGACAGGATAATAAGGCCCCACATTTCTCTCAGAATTGATGGTAAAAGGAACAAGTTAAGCACATTGAGATTAGCACAGGAATAATGGACAGAGACTGGAGCTGAGAGACAGTTTTCTTGATTATATCTCTAACCACCAAAATAATTTGTTACATTGTTTGTCTTCCTTTTATAAAATGGACAAAATTTTGAGCTAAGAGAGACTTTGATGATCCTCAACCCAACATCTCACTGTATATATGAAGAATCTAATAGCCAGGTGGGTTAATTGAGCTACTCCGTGACACAGATAGTATTTGGTAGAGCTAGAATCAGGACTCAGTTCTGCAGATCCTTAATGGAATGTTCTTGCAAATGTGGTTGAAAGGAATGAGCATGGAGTTTAGGTTTGAGTCTTAGTATTGCCATATCTGAGTTAAATTACCTTTTTAAGTAACTAAGCCCTTGGATTCAGATTCCTTATGTGTAAAATGGAGTGTAATGATACCTGCCATCTATCTCTTGAGGATTTTGTGTGTATCTAGTGAGATATGAAGAGTCTTGTGTTACTTAGTTACTGCTATGTTACAAGTTACCCCAAACACAGCAGCGTAAAATGATAACCACTTATTATATCTCACAGATTTTGATGATCTGAAATCTGAACCCAACTTAGCTGATATATCTGGCTCTGGTTCTTTCATGAAGCTGTAGTCAAGCTGTCACCCAGAGCTGTGGTCACATCTAAAAGGTGTGGAGTGAGGTGTGTTTCCAAGTTCATCTGCATGATTATTTGCAGAATTCAGTTCCCTGCAGGCTGTTGGCTGAAGACCCCCTTCAGTTCCTTGTTTATGAACCTGTAGAAGACCACTCACAATATGGCAGCTGGTTTCCTCAGGGCAGGTGAATGAGAAAGCAAGAGTATGAGCAAGATGGAAGCAAGCCATTTTGTTATCTGATCCTGGTGGTAATATCCCATCATGTGTGTGGTTTTCTGTTGACTAGAAGCAAGTCACTAGGTCCAGCCCACACTCAAGGAACACAGATTACATGAAGGCATGAATACCAGGATGTGAGGATCACTGGGGCTCCAGTAGAGGCTCCTAACACAAATATTATTCTCATTGTTAAGGGTAGTTGCAAGGAAAGCGTTAGGTATTAGATAAATATCTGCTTTAATAGAGGATAGACCTTTACAAAAAAGTAGTAATAATATTTTCATTTATAAGTGTTGATTGACTCTCTGCTTCCAAGAGGGATTTGAGGTGATATCCATATCTACTACCAGTATACGCTATTCCTCCTGCTTAGAAAAAAGCCTCCTTCCCAGCTCTTGTTCACCTGAGAACTGCTAAATCCACCCAAATCCTTCTGCAAATCCACCCAAATGTTACCTCTTGGATATGTTACCATGGTCCAACTATTATACTTTCTAATGTAAATTCAGCCAAAGGGCACGTATGATCTGAAATACAGTTGCATTTTCTAGTAGTATCAGAGTCAGTGGAGGTGCCTAGCAGTTACCAAGTGTGTCTTCCGATAGGGACAGTAATGAATGACCCAAGGCAGAGGGACCTACAGTTAGTTCTATTTTGAAGACTAGACCTTCAATGATTTGCTAAAAAAAAATATTGGAACCTTTTCAGGTACCTTAATAGGGCTGGAGAAACATTTGAAGAACTTTGTTGTATGGAATATTTATCAAAGTGAAGGCAGAGGATCACTTGCAGCAAAAACATTGGAAGGCTTTAAAAGTGCAGATTCCTGGGCGTTGCTTCAGACTTGCTGAATCAGAATCTCTGGAGTTGATCCCAGAAAAATGCGTTTTCAACAAAGTGATTCTGATGTAAAGTTTGATAAACCTCAGTCTGAAGGAACCCTGGGAAGCTTGTGAGAGACATCACCCATACAGATGTTTTTATTTGCCTTTATATTGGCTATGATTTGTGATTATAACTCTTCTAAGACACCAGTGATTGTAAGACACACTATTATACGCTATTAAGAAAGAAAGAAAAGAAAAACTCTGGTGCTTATAATTTTAAGGCTCTATAAATTGTAAAATCCATCCCATTTGAAAGATGTTAAAATATGAGAAAATCTAAAAATCAGTGCAACGCGACAAAATATCTTTTTTTTTACTTGACCAGATCTGTAAGATAGAAACTCTATATTCTGTTTCCTAGAGACATACTTTATAAATTCGTGCACTCATCCATCCAACTTTTTCTTTTTTTTTTTTTTTTTGAGACGGAGGTTTGCTCTTGTCGCCCAGGCTGGAGTGCAATAGCGCAATCTCAGTTCACTGCAACCTCCACCTCCCAGGTTCAAGTGATTCTCCTGCCTCAGCCTCCTAAGTCGCTGGGATTACAAGCACCTGCCACCATGCCTGGCTAATTTTTGTACTTTTAGTAGATAGGGGGTTTCACCATGTGGCTAGGCTAGTCTCAAACTCCTGACCTCAAGTGGTCCACCCGCCTCGGCTTCCCGAAGTGCTGGGATTACAGGCGTGAGCCACTGCACCCGGCTCATCCAACAGTTTATTCATTTATTCCACATATAGTTACTGAGGCCCTACTACGTGTCAGGCACTGTGTTTGGCAGTGGGGAGATAGCAGCAAATGAGACATGCCCCACAGGGTTTCCCTTTTCTCTAGGGGGGAAGACAGAAACTAAACAAACACATAAATACGCATATACCTGCTAATTAGGAAGAGTGCAATGAAGGACAAACAGTGGTTGTTGCCTGGCAGTTACTCTGTGGATAGAGAGGGTCAAAGGAATTGGGGATGGTCTGAGGATACACTCTCTCTGTGACGCTGATGGGGGCCAGTGAGAAGCAGGAAGTAATGGTGGGTGTAGGGCAGTTTGTATTAAGAATGACTTCTCTAAGAACAGCACATGCGCCTGTGAACCTGTGCAGGTTGTCCTTTCCTTAGCCCAGAATATAGACCACAGGCGTGCACACCAGTTTGCTCTCAGTCGACGGACGTCTGCAAAGGGCAGCCATGGAAAGGGTGAACCTGATGGAGGATGTCTGACATTGTGGTCAAAGAGAAATGGTGAGGGCGGGTGAGAGTTCTAACTCTCTCACAAATGCAGCCCTGCAAAATCAGCTGCTGTGCTGTGTCTTGCTTGTCTCCCTTTCTCCCAGCATTCTCCGAGGTTGAATTCCCTGTTGACTTCTGCGCTTACCGCGCCACTGCCATTTGCCTTAGTTTGGACTGAACCGAATACCCTGAGTCATCAATGTCATTCTGAGATGGATTCTTTACAATCCTTAATGTGACAAACTGGATTGATACCCTGCCCACTACCTGCCACCTCGCTGCAATTTCTCCTTAAATCTCTTCTTCCCCCTCCCTTTGGCTCCCTACAATACACGCAACAAAGGAAAGAAAGGTATTTTCTTGTGAGTGCTCCACGTTTACACAGCGTGGTTAGGCAAGATGATCGGATTCTCAGTCCACCCTCGCTCTCATTTTCCTTCTCATGCTAATTTGACGTGATGGAATTCTACAGCCTTGTCAGCTCCCTAAATGCATTTCAGTCTTTATTTTGTGAGAATTTTCTACAAAATCGAATCAATCTAGGTGTCATCTGGCAGTCTAAAACAAACGAGATTGTAAAAATGTTTATTGCTGAGCAGTAATTTGAATAGACCACCCCCCTCCAAACAAAAACCCCTTCCATAGAAGGAGAGCAGATCAGTTGTCTCAGAGATATTTAAAATAAAAGGTGCGTTTCATCTTAAAAATGGAACTCAAGATGTTGTTTAACTAAGTGTGCCATGCATTCAGTATTCACAGTAAAACATAAAAGAAATAACATAGATTTTTTTAAAGATATTTTTCTGCTGCACGCTGCTTGTATCAAACTACCTGAGAGGTGATTTGAGAAGGGCATTTTAGAATAAAGACATTGTTCTGACAGCAAATACAAATGAAATAAAATTGGCCCAAGGCTTTGATGCCGGAACCCACATGGAGAGCTGAGACATAGCAACTCACTAGCTTCATGCACTAGAGGAATAGAACCAGCATAATTTGTAGTAGAGTATGAAGCAAAGATGAAAGAGGAAATATTTTTTTGAAAATTAAAAGCACATAGAGAGATTAAAACAGACTTTTCAGGTTGAACTAATTCTTCTGTTTCAAAAACTTACCCATACACATAAGAAGAGAATAAAAGTTCAGTCATAATCTATTTGTCCCTGTGGTCAAGGGAAGGTTTGTGAGAGGGGTGGAATGAGCTGTGTCCCTGTGATTTTTAAGAGAGTGGGGAGAGGCAAAGAGAGCACGAACGTCTCCTTTTGGGCATCGATGAGATTGTTTTTGGCTTTTGACTGAAGCCTATGACATGCCTTGAAACAAACCTCAGAATCTGTAATGCAAGAGGCTGATACTGATTTTACTCACCTGAGTAGCTTTGCCCTAAGTGCGAGGAAGATGCTGAAAGTTCTGTCTAGTTAGGCATAAAACGATTAAGGAAGGAATAAAACCAGCAACAACAAGGAAGCAAGAACAAAGCTGTCTCAGGCCTCGCAGGTGATCCTATGTTCATGAGGTATTTTTGACAAATTGGTGTGAGAGAAGTTTAAGAATAGAAACTCCGTCTTAAATGACTGTCATTTGCCCATTCTTTTTATTATAGGTTAATCACAAAAACTGCAGGAGAGGCTTGTAAGAAAGATTCCGAGTGCTTTTGTTGTACTATTGGTGAGGTAAATATTGTGTTGCTGGAGGTGATATGATCAGACTAGACGTATAACAGAAATTATGGTTGATAACTGATAACTATCCTTATATATTGCGAATTATTTTGCACTCATTTGAAAAACTAAAACAATGATGGCTGATTTTGGAAAAGACACTTCTCGAATTTCTTTCCTGCTCTTTCAGTCTCTAAACAAACAAAGGCAATGCAAAAGCTCAAATTAAAAGTGAATTTAAATCTTATTCCTTTAATAAATAAATTCATAATTTATTTTTCCTGATAATAAATGATTTCACCTGGAAGGGTTGCCGTCTTAGGCAAGTCAACATTGATGATAATGTGGAAATCGTATGGTGTTGAAACACCAACCCTGGTTCTTCTTATTCATATGATCTGGGGTAAGATGCCTACACTTTTTGAGCCTTGTGTTCTTTACATATAAAAATAAAGTTAACATCTATTTTTCAGGGTTATCATAAAGATTAAATGAGATATGTCCAATTGCTTAGCATAGTGCCTGACACATGTTAGATACAAATGGTTTTCCTTCTAAGGGTTAAATAATTAGATGTCATTTATCACAGAAGACCCAAGAAAAGCAAATGGAAATAGCCCTAACTTTTCAAGTCTTTTAAACCTCTACTTTTTTTCTGATTGTAGAAGTGACACATATTCTTATAAAATATTAAAGAACAAATCATTGAAACAAAAAATATTATTATTCATAATTTCACCACCCTTACTATTTGTCTGCTAACAATGTATGCATTTATTATAGTCCTTTAAAGGCATTTTATATTTTATATTATATGTTATATATACATATAATTAAAGAAGGAAAGCCTCTCAAAAATTATCTTTTCTTAACTCAGCCAGCTCTTCAATAAGAGCAAAGCAGTTAGAATCTGTATTCTATTCTTCTTTCTCTAAGTATAATCCATTAGCATTTCTTTATGTTATTAAAAACTCTTGGCACATATAATTTTTTGGTTGTATATTCTATTTATAGAAGTGTGTCATAAACATATAGGATATTTTCAAGAGTTTACTATTGAAATGTACATTGAGATAAATATACTCACATAGTTTGAAAAATTCCTTTAATTTCTGAGTATTTTCCATAAAGGAATTTCAGAGTAAATGAGTATGAACATCTTTATGACTCCTGAAACACTGCCAACTGCTTTCCTATAGAATAGGGTCATTAATATATCACCAGGTGAGAGTCTCAGCTTCACCTCAGCCTTATTAACACTGAGTATTACTATTCTGAATATTTTGCAAAAGTAAAAAATGATATCTTGCTGTTGAATTTTTATGACTCTGGTTGAATGCTTAGAATTATTCTTTCACCTCCTGTGTCCTAGTTTGGCTATTGGGACTCTCATATTTTCTCATCCATTTAAATGTATTCTCTGTATAGAAAAGATAAACACTTGGTCGATTTGCTGTGAGTATTTTTCAATATTGTCTTTTACTTTTTAAATACATACGGAAGTTGCTTTGTTTTTAAAGTTGTATTTTGTCTTTTCTCATGAATTTGTTTCTTTAAGATTACCACTTAAAAGAAGGTCCTGGGATTATTATTTCTTTTTCTTTTAAAAAAATTTGCCACCCAAACAGTTTCTAAGCTGTATTAAAAAAAGCCCATGATTTCCTTTTTTTTGTGACCCTAGTTAGGGAAACTGAAGGGTAGAATGGAAGAGAAAGGTCACAAATACAAGCCTCAAACATGATGAAAATTATTTATGAGGTTTTTTTTTAAACTAAATGCCAGTGGAATTTCATTCTGTGGTTTCAAGGTTTGGAAAGAATAGAAAGAGTTGTTGACAACAAAATGGAATGTTAAAATCAGCAGGTTTCTTGACAGATGGGACAAAGAGTTATATTTGAGACAACAAGAGACAGTAAAATAAGTGGCATAATCTATCCAGTTTTTTGCTACTCTCAAACACTTTTCCTATTTGTGTTTGTCTGTGCCTGTCTGTGACAGATCTAACTGAATCTGGCCCTGGAAATCTGTGAACAGCAAAAGAAAGATGAATGATTTTTGAATAGAAGGAAATTTACACAAATGTGATTCTTCTTTACACCAACAAGAAACCGTATGAAAAGTCCTTCTCAGCTTATGGTCCCAATTAAGCTATCTCAACACACTTTGTAGCAAATTCTGTAACCCCCTAACAAACACAGTTGGCCACATGCACAAATTTCAGTAATCAAAACATTTTTCTGTCTCAGTGTATTCTACTTTCTAATTTTCTTTGCAAACAATTCCAGAGCAAGGTAGAAATCAAACCAGAAATACTATCCTTTCAACTCTGTGCTCATAACAAAACATATTATTGAGCCATGAATTTTGCATGTAAATGTGCTGAGTATAAAGAATTACATAGTCACCACACCTGGTTGTAAGGAGCTTACAGTGTGAGAGAGACCATGCTGGGTGCACAGTGTAAGGGAAATGGAAACAGTAAGATAAAAATATTTAATCAGAGTAGGAGTGGACCAAAAACGTCACACATGACATCAGAAGAGATGTATTAATATATTTATTCACCTAATATATATAAATGGATAGTCATTTGTGATTAGCATCAAGGCCTCAAGGTACTTTCTGTGTGGCACCCACTCATAATAAAAAGTCTCTGTCAAAGGTGAAGTAGAAAGGAAATTCCTCAACCTTATAAAAGACATCTGCAAGAAACCTACAGCTAACATCGTACATATGATCACCTACATGGAATATACTAGAAGTCTCCAGAAAAGCTACACTAATGACAGGGAATGGCAGGATGTGGTCCGTCCAGTCATTGTCTACAGTGCTAAAGACTTTGGAATTCATTTTCTAAATGATAGGAGCCATGGAATGCATTTGGACCAAGGAATGGACATCTGATTCTCATTTGAGAAAGCTCCTTCTGGCAGGAGAGTGAAGATAAGTCTGGAGGGTTTAAGACTGGAGGCAAAGAGACCGATTAAGAGGATTTTGCAGCTGGGCACGATGGCTCACTCCTGTAATCCTAGCACTTTGGGAGGCCGATGTGGGCGGATCACTTGAGCCCAGGAGTTCGGGACCAGCCTGGGCAACTGGGCGAAACCTCATCTCTACAAAAAATACAAAAATCAGCCAGGCGTGGTGGTGCGCCTGTAGCCCCAGTTACTCGGGAGGCTGAGGTGAGAGGATCACCTGAGCCTAGAAGGTCAAGGCTGCAGTAAGCCATGACTGTGCCACTGCGTTCCAGCCTGAGTGACCGAGTGAGACCCTGTCTCAAAATAAAATTAAAAAAAAGGGAGATCGTGCAATAGCTCAAGTGAGCAATGACAAGGAGCTGAATGATGATGGGATGGATGGAGAGCATGGAGTGGATCTGAGACTCACTTTGAGGCAAAAATATCAGAATCTGATGAACATGGGAATGAGGGAGTAAGAGTGAGAGGAGTCAAGCCTAATGTTGAAGGTGTCTATACACTGTTGGAAACCAAATGTGCATCCATGCTTCTGAGTTGTTTAAAGACACTAAAGGAAAAAAAATGGCATTTGACATTAAGTTGAGAAAGGAAAAATAGTAAAGATCCAACTTGTATTTTTCTAAACAAGCTGAAATACACTTCATTTTTGACCCAAACTTGCAGGCTAGGATTATACTTTGTTGGTTGTTTGTACTAAGTGATTATTTTCATGATTTTGAATTTCGACCTCATCTTTTGATGGGAGTTTTGAACATTTTCTGCACCCTCATCAAAAGTGATTTTAGGTTTGAAAGACTGCATTCTACAAGGATCTGCCAAACAATGACAATGAGGGTTTCTTTCATCAGGTCTCTGAGAAGGAACTTTAAGTTATAACCAATGGTAAGTTACTGCTGGAACTATTACTTGTTTCTAAAGATTAAGATCCATAATGAGTTAGAGTCTGAACATAACAGTTTCACATTCTGACCTTTTTCCTTCATGGTTGCAATTCCTTGATGTCAAATGTGAAATATTAGCAGTGTAGAAAGAGACTTTTGGGTGAAAAATGCCTTTGCTTCCAGGAAAGCTTGCTGTTTTTCCTTTTCATTCCTGTTCATTTGGGAATAGATATTAGGCCTTCTTGTTCTGTAGCTATTATTTGAGGGGGGAAAATACAAATAGAAGCCAAGAGTATATTTTAAAAATTGAAGAGCATCAAGACATCGCAGCCTGAGTTGGCCATAAAGATTTACAATTACATTTCCATCACAAAGACCCTGGCCCATCATATTTGGCCATGACCATTTATGTTTTGATTTCTATTTCTTTGGCGGGACAACACCCCAATTAGACAGATGAGTGTTCAATTCTGATTTTGGAGCGTATCCTTGCTGGCCTAGGTTACTCCGGGACTCCTGTGGCTACTCTCCACTGAACTGTGCCTTGGTAGTTATAATCCTGCTATCCATGAATTCTTAGCATATAAAAAACCATCCAGGTGAATACACTCATAGTAATTATGCCTGAATTACCTGGATAATTGACCAGAAATTCCCCTGAATTTTCTAGGTCCTTGCCTCTGAGTCCTTTTTACTCTGTGCTGTATAAATTGAGTGGTGGTGATGGGGTGGGGGGAGGGGGTGTCAGGAATTCATTCCTTAAGCCCAGCAACTAGGTCAGACTGTCTACTTTAACCTCCTGGTAGCAAGTAGTATTCTTCTTTCAAGTATCCAGAATCATCACTGGGAATTATTATTACGAAAGCTGAGTTCTTACTGTAGTTCTGATTTGCTTGGAAAAAGAACCATTCTTATTCAGAACTCATATATTGCTAATATAATATACAACTCCCCTTTTCACAATTGTACATATTTACACTGTACATAGATTCCCCGTGTATCTTCAGCAAAGGAAAAACAAAAGGAGAAATAACCAGACTTCTGCTGCTTGCAAGAAACAAAACCTGCAGTCACCAACTGGGCTGCTCCAGTATTTCAAACCATTCCAAGAAGAAGAAAAAAAAATTAAAAGTGACTCCACGGACAGATTTTCCTTTCATCAGGGTAAGAGCTGCATTTCATTACTTTAAAAATCCTCGTTCATGTAAACAACACTAAATGCTTCCTGGTCTGGATATATAAAATTATTGGATGGCCACTGCTGCCCATTCATCGCAGACCCTGATGTGCCACAGTCGATTTTTGAGAACTGCTCTGCCACTTAATGTGACAAACACCCAGCCTTGCCGTTTAAGGGATCTTTGAGAAAGGCCATCCCCACGTGAAACGAATTTAACAGCAGCAATTTGTCATCTTGCCCTTCCTTTGCTAGGGGAAAAAAATGCTAGTGATTTCTTTTGACTTAAACTGGGCATTCAAAAAGCTGTTTTTATTAATGAATCATATTAAGCCACTAGTGAAAAGCTCCCTGACTCTGTTTAAATAACAGGCTATGATTCCTCTCCCCTCAAGCTCTCCCCCCACCCCGATTTGGCTCTGCTGCTATTAATTGAGGAGTTTCTTTGTTTCTTTCCTAATGAAGCTAACAGAACACATCTGTCAGGTGCCCGTATTCTTTGCCTGTCTATAGTATGTAATAGACCAGCTGGAGGCTATAATGCTACACAATACCCCTGGCCGTTACAGCAACTATTTATTCCTGGGCTTTTCCTCCGAAAGGGATTTGAAAAAAAAAAAAAAGTCTGAAATTTGGGCCTAATTGCTATTTACCCAGCGATAGACACCTGTTCTAGCTGCGACATTGGCTCATGGATCTCACACCTGAGACCTTAGGGAGAGTAGAGGGGAAATTTCAAGCAGCTGCCAGTCCATTTAGAGATAGACAGCTTTAACTTGTGGGGTTTGCGTGTTTATATGTATACGCATATATTTTAAAATACTGTTTGTTTAGTATGTACACCCATAACCAGAGGGTATATATTAAATGCTGTGTACCATTATTTCACAGTCAATTGCTTATCTGAAGGCCGTACACATACTGGCGTACAGCTACCACTGTGATTGCTTTAAAATAATGCACTGAGACTGAATTCAGTATCAATAACAGGCACGTGTCCTTCAAAATGTCCACTCCAGGCCTTGGGGGAAAATGGTTTCTTAGGATGAATCAGAGGGAAAATTTTAATCAAACATAACTTTTCTTGGAAAGATTCGACATCGTTTCAGTCATTTCCTTTGCCAAATAGCTACGACTTCTCTCTTTGGACATGTTAAACTTATTTTTCCCTTCTGTCTTGGTCAGAGTAGCACAATCTTCTGTTTTTTTGTTTATTTTTTGAAATCAGTAATGATATTTGTCCTTGTTTCTTGGTTTGCCTTCAAATACCTCTCATATATACTCAAGAGAAACAGACTACGAGCATGATGACAGCATTCACTTCTTGCGAAAATACAAAATACAAAAACCAAAAAGTAATTAATAATGGAGACTTTATGTAACACAAGTTAATACGTTACCTAATGTTATGTTTAGTAGCAGTTTGAAATTCAAGTTTATTAAAATGTTATTAGATCACAAAAAGTACTGCCTTCATTTGTAAAAGAATAAAAGTTATTATTAGTATATACATATATGAATGTATGTGCGCGTGTGCACGTGTGTTTTCCCTGACTTTATACATTCCAGTTCCGTTGCCTCTGTTTTGCTTGAAGTATATATACTTGAAGAGAGGAGGCTGGGAATAGAGAGATTTAGCACAAGCTCACTGGCAACAAAACAGAAATAAAACATTATTGCCCTGCTATTTTGTCTGGCCTTGAATCAGAAGACAATCACACTGCAGAGGGCTAGTGGGGAGGGGGAGCTTAGGAGGTTAGATGGGGAAGAAGGAGAAAGCAGAGGCAAGGTTTTTTTTTTTTCTTGTCTTGTCTTTTATATCTTTTTTTTCCCCCAGTCAGTAGGACTTCTGAGCTTTTTGATAGATTCTCCATTGGTATTGCTAGAGCAGCCTCCCATTTACTTACTGTTTTGAGAAATTTGGCCTTTCTAAGCAAATCAAATAAACTTCATCTAATTTGCTCCCAAATAGAAAATTATTTATTATTTCTCCCAAAGGATACATGAGCCATATTCAATAGTGGTGAGAATCCACAAAATAAAATGAAAGGGGTGAAAGAAGACTTTAATAAAATGCAGAACTACAATTCATACACGAAATCAGAATGATCTGAGTGATATTAAGCATATGTGCACATATGTGTGCACGCACACACACACACACAACATGCTGGTTAAGAAATTCCCTTTAGTCCCATCTGAAGCCAGAGGTGACCGAAGAGTCAGAGCCTTAGGAGGTAGCTGGGGATGACAGGAGAGACGGACAGTACTCACATACAAATGAGTGCTTTGCCTCGGGGCTCACACAGTTGGATAGAGAGCTGATGCAGAGACAGAAATTCATTTCCCATGAGAAAGGAGAGAAGTGCACAGGGAACAGGGTCACACCAGAACAGGTGATAATGAAATTAGAGTTAATGAAGGCTGGAAGAAACCTAGAGTGGATGGGTTGGTGAAACTGTTATCTGAGATGCACACTAAAACCAGGGATGATATCTCAGTACGGGGGAAACAATGGTTGGAGATGCATGGTAGAAAAGTCCTGGGAAATATAAGAATCCTACCCTCATCTCTGAAGCAGGTCATCTCTTTGTTTCTGTGTTGCAAGATTTCGTAAGTGGATGATTCTAGGAGGCAGATTATATGACGGAGAGCCAGATAGAGAATGTCTCTGAGCCTCGGTTTCCTCTCTGGTAAAATGGGAATAATAGCACCTACCTTCTTCTTTTTCAGAAGATAAAATGGGATACTGTTTGTAGAACACCTAATACAGGAACACATAGTTGGTGTCACATATATGTTAGTTTTATTATATTTCTTTATAAGCAATTAGGTCATTATTATAAAAACACCAGTCAAGGCATTGCAAATTTGTTCATCCATGTAGTTGTCAACTGTCTAGATCCCTAATAGTGAACATGCCACATCACAAAAGAGAAATGAGCCTTAAATATGTCTGTTCTTAATACATTTTATATCTGAAGTATATTATGAAAGAAATGGATTTTGTCAGGAGCCAAGAAACTAAGTGATACACAGATAACACATAGGACAGTTGTTAAATGAGTATTTATGTTATGGCAGGGATCAGTGTTGGTCCTAGAATTAAGTGAATTTTGAGCCTGGTAGAGATACAGATTGAGATAGCTAGGCATGATTTTCCTCTCAGAGCATCCTGTTTGCATTGCCACCCTATTAAACTGCAGAGTGAGGCATTTTTGCGGCATTTGCTGAACAAATCTTTCTTTCTCTGAGCTGTGATTCATTTGCCCAGGAGTACATTTTCCTGGGCCCACAGAAGCAGTGAATGACATTGCATGTTGAAGTACTATTTGGGGCTGCTCAAAATCTTCTGGATACTTTTCTGATCTTGAATACATCCCACACTGAATCCTACCTTCTCAGGTAGATGCCGGACACGCCATCACCATACTCTGTGGGAGCTGAGGTTCAGGCATATGACCTGGGCTCTGACAATCGGACATGCACACATGAGATTTGGATGCAGTTGAAGGCATCATGAGCTCAATCTCCAGGCAAGCATAGTGGCAAAGGTGTTTGGAGGTGTTTGGGTTTTGTTGTTGTTGTTGTTGTTTCTTTGTTTTAGAGATGGGGTCCCACTATGTTGCTGAGTAGCTGGGACTATAGGCATGAGCCACTGTGCCTGGCTGTTCAGTTTTTTGGTGTTGGTACTGGCTTCCTAGCATTCGGTTCTACATGCTGTATTACCAAATGGTATTATGAGGTGTTTCAATAGCAAAGAATTTGGTGTGGTTGATTAGCTTTATGGTCTAGTTCTCTGAGTCTTCTGAAAATTCCAAGAGCTCCCTAATGCCTTTAATAAAGTCTTTGTTTACTTTCACCAGCTAGAGTGTATTCAGTTGTTTGCTATTAAAAATCTTGACTGGCTAGGTGTGGTGGCTCATGCCTGTAATCCCAGCACTTTGGGAGGTTGAGGCAAGCAGATGGCTTGAGCCCCGGAGTTTGAGACCAGCTTGGGCAGCATGGTGAAACTCAGCCTCTACAAAAATTAGCTGGGTGTGGTAGCACTTGCCTGTAGTCCCAGCTACTTGGGAGGTGGAGGTGGGATCATTGCTTGAGCCTCAGAGGTCAAGGCTGCAGTTAGCTGTGATCATGCCATTGCACTCCAGCCTAGGTGACAGAGTGAGACCCTGTCTCAAAAAAAAAAAAAAAAAAAAAAAAAAGAGGGAGAGAATCTTGACCATGGTGCATGTATTGCATGTTTTATAATGCCATGAAAAGCAACGATATTTTAGTTAAATAGTATTGTACAGGTGGTGCCTACTTCCCAAGGACCCATTCACCCCTCTGTTGGTCATTACCCTCACTTTTGGAGGGCAGGGAACATGTAGCAATTCACAGTTCTCTAGTGTAGCTGTCTGGTTGTGGGGGGAACTTAACTCTACCTTGACTCTAGAAACAGTCATGTCACTCAAGCCTATGTTAATCAGTGTGATTCTATTTGTTGGTCATTACTATAGAGCAGATATTTGGTCCAGTGAGTAGTGCAGGGGGTAGTGTTCCAGATGCTTCTGGGAAGGATCTCCTGAGGGAGTTTCCAGCAACAACTTGTTTTCTATCTATATTGAAAATGTAATTCAAGGGATTGTTTGCTGCCTTCTTTCAGCCACAGGAAGGGAGCCAGCTCCAGGATGAATATGATACAATGAAACACATAGCAGAAGGCCAGAAAGAAACTATGTACTCGATTTTATCACTGGGCCACCAAATCTACCCAACCCTTATGTCCACCCTAGATAGGGACTTTCTAGTTATGGGAAGCAACTAATACTGTTTTTGTTGTTTATCATCTTGCATTGGATTCTGTTTCTTGCAACAAATGCATCCTAAATTACCAAATCCTCTTTTTTTGTTAAAAAAAAAAAAGTGGAGCAGCATCGTGTGACTCACCGTTATTTCATGAACCATTAGGAAGGGGGAAAAAGCTGTCAATTAAACTGACACAATGTTTTTGTTACTTCCAGTTTTTTTTGTATACTTTCTGCAAAAGCTCTTTCATACACATTTAGACATTTTCGTTTGTCATTTATTGTTTCCCTGCACATAAAAGGAAAATATCAGTAAAATAAATTCGTTGAATATTCTAGAACATCTTCATATTCTCTAATTGCCCCTCCAGTTCTATATGTCTGTCTTTCTCTATCCAGCTCTGTGCCCTGGGGAGCTCACCACTGTGGGCTGCATCTTCCAAGCTCAGTGTCTTCCAGGTGCTGATTGGCTTAGCCAGTGAAAGGCACCATCAGGAGACTGGGGAATGAGAAAAGGAATATTGGAGTATTTCTCCCAGCTATGGTGCAATGTCTCTGGTAGTCACTGTAACCCTCTGGGACTACAGCTTCCCCAGTTCTTACTGAGTTCCTATTAAGATCTCCTGCCTTAATATTTTCAAAACTAGGGGTAGTAATGACTTCTCAGTGGGACCTTAGTTCTTTTATTAAAGCCTTTTTATTTGAACCCCCGATGGTGAATTCTGATCCCTGACCATTCCATGATTGGCACAGAGTCCAACTCTTCTAGATAACTTTTCTATTCAAAATCTTTATCTTCTGTGTTTTTCCCCCTTGGTCATTCCCTGCGCCATCAAGAAAATTGATGGTGTGGGATTTTTTTAAAAGAGTGATCACTGTTTACTTCAGTAATACTTTCAAGATCTAACTTTGAGCGGCAGATACCTTCCTTGGGATGACCTAATATTGCTTCCTATGTAATAATAAATCTCTTATGTTCTTACACTCATTTGTCCCATCTTTCCCATTTCTGTGGCCCTCCTCAGAGTCTTGCCTGGTAAATATTGTCTTCTAAGTAGCTTTGCCTCCAGCCTTTCCATTCTCCTGCTCATTTATGTACCATGGTCACACTCAGGCTCAAAAACCATCTAATGCAACCAAATGTGCATAGAACAAAACCTAGTTTCTTGTCTGACAATCAAGATCTTTCATAATCTCACTTCCTCCAGATATAATTGTTTTAAAAAACACAAATCTTTATTGTGCTCTAGGTATATACCAGACACTGTTCTAGGAAGATAAATATTTTCCAAGGTTAGGGCACAGCCAGATAAGCCAATAATTATACTGCATAAGAAGTGCAATATATACAACCCATATCTTGTTAGATGACACTAGTCTGGGCAGAGAAAACTGGGTAATTTAAACAAGAACAAACATCATTTTTATTTTTATTTTTTAGCTTTGGGGAAGATGGGATAGACTCTTGGGCCACCCCACCCCATCATTTTTATTTTTATTTTTTAGCTTTACTTGAGAAAGATGGCATAGACTCTTGGGCCACCCCACCTAGCTTCAAGTCCCTGTTCTCTCATTTACTTGTCATGTGACCTTGGACATGCTACCTAAACTGAGGAAGCTGCCTCAGTTTCCTCTTTTATAAAATATGGATAACAATGATAGCCATTTCATAGAGTTGTGAGAATTAAATATAGTTTAAAATATTTGTTTGGCCGGGCATGGTAGGTAGCTCACGCCTGTAATCCCAGTACTTTGGGAGGCCAACGCGGGTGGATCACAAGGTCAAGAGATTGAGACAGACAAAGACAGTCAAGAGATTGAGGCCAACATGGTGAAACCCCGTCTCTACTAAAAATACAAAAATTAGCTGGGTGTGGTGGTGCGCACCTGTAGTCCCAGCTACTCGGGAGGCTGAGGCAGGAGAATCACTTGAACCCGGGAGGCAGAGGTTGCAGTAAGCGGAGATTGCGCCACTGCACTCCAGCCTGGGCGACAGAGCAAGACTCTGTCTCAAAAAAAAAATAATAAAGTAAAATAAAATATTTGTAAAGTACTTAGCACGGTGCCTGGAATGCAGTAATTATTCAATCAAAGTTAGCTATTTTAGAAGCAATAGTATTTACTTGACTCTTCCCTGTAGCAGGACTTTGGGTTTTCCTAAAAGTCCCTGCTTCCTCATCCTGCACACACTTCTTCAAGTTCTTGAGGGGTGTCTTAACTTTTCTTTTCCTTTTGGGCTATACCCTTCTCCAGGCCATCTTAGCAGAAGGGGGTTTATTATAAAAACTCATGAGGTCTGGTGCTGGTCCTGAGAAGCTGATGGCTTTAGGGGACAGCTGCCTTCCATTTCACTCTCATGGGCCCTGGGTTCTCTACTTTTTGGCATATTTCTGCCTTTCTCTTTGTGCTCCCTGCCCTTATTTCTTTTTGTTAGATAAGCTACTGTGCTCTATCTCCACTGGAGAGAACCCAACTGATTGGTCCAGAGATTAGCCTCTCCCAATCAGGCTGACTTTCATGTGCTGTGTCTCATTAAATAGATTAATAGTCAGTCAATGAGTAGGCCCTTTGCAGGTGAGATGTCCAACCTGGTTCTGTCAGCGGCTCCCCCAGTGCAAGTTCTAGCTCAACCCTGCATCATTGGCATGGGGATGTAGGCTGGATGGCATAAACTAATCAAAGTGTTGTCCAGGCACCAGTCCTGGTTCACGAGCTATTAATAGTCTGAGTGAGAAAGCACAATGCTAATATAAGTGGTTAGAGAATGTTACAGCAATTTGACTTTGCTGAAACAGCCAAATGCATGATCAGTGGTCTTAAAAGTCTTGAATCAGGATACGGACCAGCTGGGGTGTTGTCAAACACACCTGGTAAATTGCATGCCTCACACACAGAGTACTGGTCATGGTCACATGCAGTAGGACCACAGGATGCTCTTCAGTAGATTGGAAATTGAAACCGCACAACACAAAACTGGTCCTTCACCACAGATAAATAATATGCCTTTATATCAGATGCATAGGTATAAGTATTTCGTAATGAACAGAAATGAGCATCCTGTCTGAGTAGACAAATTAGTTAAATCACCTTCTCTGGATGAGCACAGCTCTTGGGTGAGGGTATGGGGACACAGTTTAGTAAACAGCTAGCCTTGAGGATTTCAACCCCAACTTACCCTATCAGCCATGGCTTCTGTGCAGTGCACAAACCACACAGCCACATGCAGCCTCACATGGTAGCTGTGCCCATGGCCTCCTGGACTCAGAGACCTGTGCTTCAGTTCACACGTGGGATTTCTTTTATCAGGAGGCTCTTTAGCAGGGCCAACTTCAACAGAAGTCTGATCTCCAATTTGGGATAGAACTCAAGATACTTGTCTCCAATATCACGAAGCCCAAACAAATTCAGATATGTTTATAACCACTGTTTCAGTAATTCCCAAACAATGAGACATTCCATGATAGAGATGATGCTTCTGAAATAGTCTGTGATGTTTGGAAGCTGGTCTGCACAGAACTCCTAGTGGACTTGCGAGGCAGGTGTCACCTAATTCCACCTGCCTTCTCTGGTCAGTAGATAAAATAGCGACCACCAATGAATTATGTCCCCAGTGTCTACATGCCCTTGTAATGTGGCACTATAGCTCCGGTCAGCAAGAGGATGGACCTATTTCCCACCCCCTTGAATCCCATCTGGCTTTGTGACTTGTTTTGACCAATAAAATATGTAGGCCTTAAGATGTTCATGGCTTTCACTGTTCCCTTATTGGAATACTAAGACGCCATGTTGTGAAATAACCTAGTATAGCCTACTAGAACATGAGGGGTGATATGAAGAACTAAGACATCTAGCTGATAGCTAACATTAACTGCCAGATGCATGAGTGAGCCTATCTAGATCTACCAGCTTGAGCTGAGCAGTCAAATGAATGTAGCCCTATCAGTGATCCTGACTATGACTGGTAGAAGAACCATTTGGATAAGGAAACCACAAACCATGAGAAATAACAAATTATTCTTGTAAACCACTAAATTTTGGAGTTATTTGTCACACAGCAGTAGATAGTGAAGACATCATCCTACAAAGTCTCTTCTCTGACCAGTCAAAACATTGTGAACATATATTACTGCTATTTCTGTATTAGCTTTTTACTTCCACTAAGCCATATGCTTTTTTTTTTTTTTTTTTTTTTTTTTGATGAAGTTTCACTGTCACCCAGGCTGCAGTGCAGTGGCACGATCTCAGCTCACTGCAACCTCTGCCTCCCTGGTTCAACCGATTCTCCTGCCCTAGCCTCCCAAGTAGCTGGAACTACAGGCGGGTGCCACAACTCCTGGCTAATTTTTTGTGTTTTTAGTAGAGGCGGGGTTTCACCATGTTAGCCAGGATGGTCTCAATCTCCTGACCTCGTGATCCACCCGCCTCACCATCCCAAAGTGCTGGGATTACAGGCGTCAGCCACCGTGCCCGGCCAAGCCATATGCTTTTTGAGGCCTCTTTATACATCTAGTACATCTCAGATGATTCCTCTTGAACATCTCAGAGCAAATATCAAAATGCCTTCATATAGTAGACACTGAAAAACCATGTACTTTAAAATAACGCAGTTATAGGTTGCAGTGAGCAGAGATCGCACCACTGCACTTCAGCCTGGACGACAGAGGGAGACTCCATCTCAAAAAATAAAAATTAAAAAAAAAAAAAAAGGCCAGGCGCAGTGGCTGACGCCTGAAATCCCAGCACTTTGGGAGGTTGAGGCGGGCGGATCACGAGGCCAGGAGATCGAGACCATCCTGGCTAACATGGTGAAATCCAGTCTCTACTAAAAATACAAAAAATTGGCCAGGCATGGTGGCGGGCGCCTGTAATCCCAGCTACTCGGGAGGCTGAGGCAGCAGAATGGCGTGAACCCGGGAGGCGGAGTTTGCAGTGAGCCGAGATGGCGCCACTGCACTCCAGCCTGGGCAATAGAGCGAGACTCCCTCTCAAAAATAAAATAATAAATAAATAAATAAAAATAATGTGGATTATTCAACATTTTATAATCAAAGGGTCACACAACACAAGTTTTCACTTACGGTTTCGTGCTGAATAATGATGCATCATCTGTTTAGAAATGTGGATTGAGGCCGGGCTCGGTGGCTCACGCCTATAATGCCAGCACTTTGGGCGGCCGAGGCAGGTGGATCACAAGGTCAGGAGATCGAGACCATTCTGGCTAACAGCCTGAAAACGCGCCTCTGCTAAAAATACAAAAAATTAGGTGGGCGTGGTGGCAGGCGCCTGTAGTCCCAGCTACTTGGGAGGCTGAGGCAGGAGAACGGTGTGAACCTGGGAGGGGGAGCTTGCGGTGAGCCAAGATCGTGCCACTACACTCCAGCCTGGGTGGGCAATAGAGCGAGACTCTATCTCAAAAAAAAAAAAAAAAAAAAGAAATGTGGATGGAAAAAATTTGGCAACTTTGCTGGTCATGGTGACTCCCACCTGTAATCCCAGGACTTTGGGAGGCCAAGGTGGGTGGATTACCTGAGGTCAGGAGCTCAAGACCAGCTTGGCCAACATAGTGAAACCCTATCTGTAGTAAAAATACAAAAATTAGCCAGGCGTGGTGGCAGGTGCTTGTAATCCCAGCTACTTAGGAGGCTGAGGAAGGAGAATCGCTTGAACCCAGGAGGCAGAAGTTGCAGTAAGTAGAAATTACACCGCTACACTTTAGGCTGGGCAACAAAGCAAGACTCTGTCTCAAAAAAAAAAAAAAAAAAAAAAAAAAAAAAAGAATATGGCAACTTAAGGACCTACCTTTGCTACTTAAGGGGAAGAAGGAAAAGACAAGGGAATTGGAGACTGATACTCTGTATGCATGTGAGGCTTTGGAGAGCTCTCCCTGCAGGTTCTGGTCAGTTTGATCGAAGTAGGACCTCAGCTTCCCCCTCACTGTGGGGTTAGATAGTTGAGAGTTGGGCTGCTTTTGAGTGTCTGGTCCCAGTGACCGTGATTGCTGCTCCTTCCCAGAAGGAGACAGTTTTCTACGAAGTTTGGTTGCCCACCACATTTAGCATCTGCTTTTCTTCCAGGAGCTCTTGCTGTGCTCCCTGGCTGGGCTGTCCAGCTCTCACACGACCTTCTCTTCTGACCACACAGTCTTGTGCTTTCTCTTCTAATGCTACCCACAGTGTGGTGCAGCTCACGCTGGCAGTTTCTTGTTCCATGTCTGTTTTCCATTCTGGTTTGTAAATTCCATAAGGGAGCCTGTCTCTCTTTTTCTGGAACATGGGTAGAAGGGTTTAAATAGCACAAGGAGCTCTTAAACTGCTCCACACTGCACACATTTACTGATATGTGAAAACAGTAACCAGATAATCTATCCAATCTATTCTGATGTAGTTTCTTTGCACGTTACTTGTTACAGTTGTAATTAAAGTTCGATTATGAAATTTAACATTGGTTTATCATGCCTTCCCTATGACCTAACTTTAGTGTCATAAAATGGAACTAAATAATTTCTAATATTGGTCTGATTCTTTCAACATCTCTTTTACACAACTCTCCATTTGGAAACATTTCCTTATTAATGTTATTTGTCTTGGTTCCCAAGCTCGTATTTTATCTACTTAATGTTCTTTCCAAAATTTGACTTATATTAAAATAGCTAAAAGGTAACTTTTGTGGTAGCTTTTAGATGGCACTAGATCAAAAGCTTTCTTGATGATCAGCAAAATTAAATTTATACCACCTTCCCATTGGGGCCTTTTTGAGAAAAAAAAAAAGACCATCTACTTTGTTGTGTATAATTCTAATTTAAGAATCTAGACAGTCTATAATTAATTGCCTTACATTTTTCTCAATTGCAGTTGTGACATTCGTGTTTCCTGTTTGTCTCCAGAAACTTTTAAATTCCTGGATATAAAGATACATTTTTAACTTCTAGCAGTTTAGGTATACATTTTGCTGATGCTTTGAATAATACCAATACTTTAAATTTTCGTTTTCTGGTAATGGTAAATTGGATGAGAGGGAAATAACATCCCAAATTAGAGTCTAGCAGGGAAACACAGGTTTGCTTCTGTGCATGCAATATATTTCTTTCCTACAATTTCATTTACAGTGGAGCTCTTGGATTGATTGTAGGTGAACAATAACATCTAGTATTAGAAGAAAGAATTTTAATGATGGTAAACTTAAAGCATTATTTCCGACTTAAAAAGTTGATCCCTTGACTCTATAATTATATTTTGTTTGAAACCCCTTACCCTTGGCTTCTCCGGGTATTTGTGAAGGTTTTAACTAGACAAGGCATGAATTATCTGGAAATGAATAAAAGCTCAAGAAACTAAGAAAAACCAGTTGCACTAAAATGCCATTAAGAACTAATTATAATCTCTTCTCCTTCTCCTCTTTCTTCTTGCTAACTTCTGTTTCATCTTATCTTAACCTGTTCTAATATTAATTGTTAGTGAGTGATAGCTCGGGTATGGATAGGAGACAAAAAAATTCAGAGTAGTAACAAGATGAATAAAATCAGATAGTTAAAAATAACCTCTAATACCCAAATTGCTGCCTAATAACAAAATTATGTTATTATGTTATTAAGGTCAGTAGCTCAGATGAAATAGGACAATGTACAAATTAGCAAAAATGTTGTTAAGATTTTTCATTGCTCAACAAAAGTTTATTGACCAACAAATGTTTACTGACATGTTCAGGCACATGGAGGATCTCCTAAACTGTACAGCCTTACAGGTCCCAGTGAAAACCCTGTTGCTTTGTCACACCCTTTAAGGATTCCCAAGCAACCACCATCTGTAGAGATGCTGCTTCCAGTGTGCCCAAGAAATGAGTCACAGGGAATCCCATGGAAATCTCAGAGAAATTCACGTGCTAATTCCTGGTGATATTGCAGAGGCTAGTGCCATAGGAGTTGACATTGCAGTACTTTACTCTGTTGTTTCATTCCCAAGTTTGGAGGTTGCACCCTTGCTCATGATCTCTGTGACCAGTGTCTTGTAAAGGGTCTGTCTGGGCTTGATAACACTGACTTCTACCATTTGCTGCTTCTTTTCCTAGATCTTATCAGTGGAGGAAATGGCATGGACTCAAGTATGCAGGCTCTTTTGTCGCCTTAGTGTAACCCAACAGAGGACAAATGGATAGACATTGTCCCCATTTCCAGTGACCTTACAGTTAATAAGCAAACAGAACAATGAGGAAGCATGTAGCAGAGTCTCTAACTCCCAAGAAAGGTTAGGTCTAAGCCTGGCTCTGAAGAAGGGATAGATGTTTCCTGGGTTGTGGGTAGGGAAGCAGGGTGAATTCTCCTGAAGGAGAGGTGCATTGATCAGTGGAACTTGAAGGAGGTACAGTGGGTGTCAGCCCAGAGTATGAGGCCAGGAGGAGTAAGATGGGCTGGAGGGTCAAAGAGGGGCCAGACCATGCTGTGTCTTCCAGCCTCAGGTAAACACTTCGCAATGGGAACACTTTAAAGAGTTCTACAGAGGGGAGTGATAAGTGCCATCATTCCTTCCTAAACCTTGAAGATCAGATCTGCACATAAGACACTCCTGGGGGTGGCTAGGGAACATGGGTTAAAACAAACGAACAAAGCTGGGCATGATGGCTCACACCTGTAATCCCAGCACTTTGGGAGGCTGAGGCAGGTGGATCACTTGAGGTCAGGAGATCGAGACCAGCCTGGGCAACACAGTGAAACCCCGTCTCTACTAAATATACAAAAAATTAGCTGGGCATGGTGATATGCACCTGTAATCCCAGCTACTCGAGAGGCTGACAGCAGAATCGCTTGAATCCAGGAGGCGGAGGTTGCAGTGAGCCAAGATTGTGCCACTGCATTCCAGCCTAGGCGACAGAGTGAGACTCCATCTCAATAAATAAATAAAACCAAACCCAGGTGGCTTCAATAAAGTATAGGAATTAAATTTAGTCGCTTTAGAAGTCAATATCAAGGAGCGAGTCAAACAACAAACTGATTCATGGCTGTATATACAGCAGAGAAAATGCTGTATAATATTGAAACTCAAAGTTTATAGTCAGCTAGAAGAATTAAAAACTTAAGCCACATTTGTTGAATTTAAGAGTGACTGTGCTAATTATGCAGTCATACTGTTGGTGAGCATATGAAAGCATGTTTTGATTTTCTTCTTTAAACTTGCAAACTCAACAAAGGGAAATTTTTGGTTTGTTTACATGTTTAGTTTTGATTAACCAGACTGTCCTTAACTTAGTAAGAGTAGTTTTTGTACATAATTATGCTTAAACATTCAAATCAACTTTTCTACATTCTAGATCTACTAATTGTAGGTGGTCAAACTACTTAAGGTAATAGCTTGGATTTTTAGAATTTGCCATTATTCTACCAAGTCTGGTATTTAAGATGCTATGAGGTTCCTCTCTGTGTGCCCTGTATGAGTTTGCTGTGGCTGCTGTAACAAATTAGCACAAATCGAAAGGCTTAAAACAAATCAAATTTATTGTCTTACTCTGTTAGAGGTCAGAAGTCCAAAGTAGGGCTGCATTCCTTCTGGAAGTTCTAGGGGAGAATCCACTTCCTTTCCTTTCCCAGCTTCTAAAGGCTGTCCACATTCCTTGGTTCATGGCCCCTTCCTCCATCTTCACAGGGTATCACTTCAACCTCAGCTTTTGTCATCACATCTCATATTTCTGCCTTTGATCCTCTTGCCTCCCTTTTCTAAAGAGGAGGATCTAAAGAGCTCCTTCTTTGTAATTACATTGAGCCTTCTGGAATAATCCACAATAATCTTCTCTTTTCAAAGTCCTTAATTGTATCACACTTACAAGGGTCTCTTTGCCATGTAAGATAACATATTCACAAGTTCAGGGTATTAGGACATGTATATCTTTGGGCCATCATTCAGTCTTCCACAGGCCCTGGATAAACTAAAAGTTTGTTAATCATGCAATTTAAAACTTGGAAATAAAACAAAAGATTTAAGGTATATTCTTTTAATGTCATACTGAGGTTTTGTTTTATATTTTGAGCAGGGTCACCTAAATATCTAGGGCCCAATGGAGAAAGAACATGTTTCTAATAACATATTCTCAAGGTTAGCTTACAAAGGTGTTTCTCTGTCAAACACTTCCATTCACTGAAAGAAAACAGCTTATGATGAAACAGCTTACAATGAATCTTTAAGAAGGCATGTGACAAGGATGCACATCCTGCACATGTTCCCCTGAACTTAAAATAACAGTTAAAAAAAAGAAAACATGCTTACATTTGCCTTTTATAACCTCATACATAAACCTGGGTAACATGAACCAGTGGAGAAAGAAACATGTTCCAATTACATATTCTCAATGTTTGCTTAAAAACCCCCAAATATTATTTAATTATCTAGGAACTGTACCTGTGTTTGATTTTATTTCTATTACTTAAAGTTTCAGACATTGGGTTAAGTATTAAATATATGTTAACTTGTAAACCTGAAAGGAGAGGGAAATAATTGTTGTCCAGAAAGATAACCCCAAAAGTTATGGTTTTATTACCCTTATGACCTACAGGACATTAACCAGTTTTTTCTCTAATTCAGCAAACTTATTTTAGAATTATCTCCTTGTATAATATCTTCTCATCTTAATTTTAATGTTATTTTAATGGTTCAACTCATTAATAAGTTGAATACATTTTTAACACAGATGCATGCAATATTTGTACAAGAGTTTTAACTTTTTGACAGTTATGGTTTGACAATGAATTTGTTGGGTAAATGATATTAATTGGCCCAACAGCAAACTATATTGGCATAATCAATATTCAATATCCCTCCCACTCTAAGAGTCTATGATGATCTTTATTTCTCATCAGTACTCACAAACCAATGTTATACTCTCAGGGAAACCTAAATAGATGGCATTTTCGGTCTAAATGTTGATTGAAGCTTAAGATTTTTTTCCTCTGACATTAACACTATAAATTTTCTGTGCTTCACCATTTTTCTAACTGATCTATGGAGTTGGTGGCAATAGTGATGAGTAGCCGATGCAGCATGCTATAACATTTACCTATTAATAACTTAATGGAGCTTGACAACCAGTTTTACTCAAAGGTAGGTAGGAAAGAGGAACCTAGAGGGCTTGAATATAGGAAGTTGACTTGTCTGTCTTGAACGTGAGGAACAATAAGAAACTGATGTGGCTGTTAATATGCGGTGAAACCAGCTTATGATGTTTGTGATAGCTACAAAACAGGCAAAAATCATATACTGTTGGGGAAAAATAGTTAACTACTCTTGGTTTAAAAATAAAGAGAGGAAATCACTACTGGTGATTTTCCTTTTGAAGGTAATTGGAAACAAAATATAAATTGTCGTATAAACACACTTTCAAAAATGTATGACTATTCTGTGTTCCCAAAGTTTGTAGTGTGGCAGGTTTACAGTAACAGAAGTGTGTACGTAACTCTGCAGAAAGACATAAAAGAGTATTGTGTTAAAATTTCGTAGACAAACTTGCACCCCATCAGCAACTTGGACAAAATTAACATGTTTCTAAAGCAACAGAATGTTGCGATACATTACCAAGATGGCATAGGGGCTAAGTGGTTCCATGCTATGACAGTCAGATATTATTTACTAGAGAATTTTTTAATTAAGAAGAAAAGAAAAAACCAAGGCTCAGCAAATAGTAGAAAGCTATACGGATTGCACCCTCTGTGTCATATTATAGTTTCCTTTTTGTTAAACTTGGTAAGAAACACAAAGAAGAGTAATGCCTCAGTGATGAAGAAGGTTGGATACAAATAATACCGGGTCATTCCCCTTGTTTGCAAATTGTACTTTGACTTTTTCTCACTTTGACTTCCATTCAGTTCTTCAGCCATTTCAAATTCACTCTTTAATTGCCATGGCAAATATTTATTTTGTTACATGGCAATTTAATCTGTATTTTAAATTTCAAATTAAAACCTGTTTGTTTTTCTAGCAATGCCTGTATTAAGTAAGCAGCTGTCAATATGTTCATCGCACACTGAAGACATGTAGTCACATACTTTGGGCATGGAGGTGGGAGGTATGGGAGGGTTCTCACTAAATAAATCACCTAGCATGGCTTTGGTAGGAAGGACCCTTACTACCTCCCTATGACCTTAAGGCCAGTGTCTAAGAAAGAGAATTCTGGTAATCCTAGAAGTGAGCAGAACTTTCAAGGAACTAGAGTGGAGGATTCCTTTTTTTTAATGCCAGAGAAAGCAAAGTCCAGTAGAAACATTGAAAAGATTCCCTTGAGATGATGGTACTGAAGAATGATTTCTGAGCACTAGGAAGAATTTTAATTAGGCTGCTACGGATACCTATAGATAGCATCAAACAACGTCTATTTGGCTGCCTAGCTAGAGAATGACGGCCCCTGGATGTGATCAAAGCCCCCCTGAGTTCTCGGGGGTTCCCCTCGAATCAAACCCATCGTAGCTCATTTAGATGCTGTGCAGTGTTCAGCGTGGCTCGGGAGTTGCTTTTCCTCCCAGTGCTTAACCTCCTTTCCCCTAAGATACAAATGTCAATATTGGATTTAGTCTAGTTGAATGGATGTGTCAGAGGGGAGATTAGTGACTGGCAGCCACAAAAGGGTTTTTCAACTGGCAAAAGTAAATTTTTCACAAATGAATCAAAACAGTTTGAGGTGGAAAAGGAGCAGGGGGAAAAAACCCTTGCCAAATTTTGTCATGATGCCTCATTAAATGGATTTGAATACTTCAGCGTGGGCACTTTATCTAGAAGCTACTGGATTCACCCCATAGGAGGCTCCAGAGTGAGGGAAAGAGAGCATCTGCTTTAATATCCTCAAAAGGGCATTTTCTGTGAAAAGTCTCAGTATATTGTCCCCTTTTATGGCATGAAACCATCCGCAGCCTAGCTTCAGATGATCAGAGTGCCTCGCTCATTATAACAATCCTTAGACCATTTAATGTGATAAATTTAAATTGCGGAAGTTTTTTATTGGTGGTTGTATTCATGCTTTTTAGAATTAGTTGTGCTGCTTGTTGTTTTGCTTATTTGTTTGTTTTGAATGATTTTGGATAGTCAAACATCCCTGCTTTGACTGATTGAGAATAAATGGAGGTGGTTCCCACCTCCTTTCTTGAACAATTCACATTGCTGGCATAATTGCTAAGGTCATTGTTTCTGTGGTCACATTTATGCTTCTGGTCACTTTGAATATTATGGGCATGTCTATTTCAGGGAACTGGTGTTCCAGCAGGAAGGAAAAAATGAAAAACATCCTTTGGGATGTAGTTATTGATTGATTAATTAAAAGCAGTCATGGATTATCCTTCTCAGATTTAGCAAAACACGCTAATTGTTATAAACTTAGAAGTCACAAGAAAGAAACATGAAAATTATGGGAGAAGGGTTTGGCAGTACCAGCTTATCTCCTAATCAGCTCTGAAGATTGATGGAGAACTGTTGACAAAATGTTTTAGAAAGGTGTCCTCCAAATCCTAAGAAAACGTCATTACATTCATGACCCACTTCAGTTCAATCTTCTAAATTTGAGGTTTTGCCAAATGGCTGAAGAAAGCAGTCAATTTGTTAAAGTCTAACTTTAGAGCCCATGGCTGGTTCTTGATAGATCCCTAAATTTGCTATATCAAAAGATTAAAAACACTCAAGAAGTTTCTACTTTATAAGGCATTTTAAAAAGGCTTCTTTTTTTAATAATAAAAAATTTTCAGGCTACATAAGTTAGGATTAGATTTGGCCATATGTAACAGAATGCCACCAATACCAAAGCCTTCACCACACAAGGTGCATTTTCTCACATGGAGGAAGTTCAGGAGTTTGTCAGCAGAAGGCTGGTACAGCAGCGCCACATTTCATCTGGACCTTTGATAGTTCTCACTTGGCATTCTGCACCTTGAGCCTGACACATTAATAAACTACAAGGCACTGGTAATTCTTTTTTTTTTAATTATACTTTAAGTTTTAGGGTACATGTGCACAATGTGCAGGTTAGTTACATATGTATACGTGTGCCATGTTGGTGTGCTGCACCCATTAACTCGTCATTTAACATTAGGTATATCTCCTAATGCTATCCCTCCCCCCTCCCCCCACCCCACAACAGGCCCCAGTGTGTGATGTTCCCCTTCCTGTGTCTATGTGTTCTCATTGTTCAATTCCCACCTATGAGTGAGAACATGTGGTGTTTGGTTTTTTGTCCTTGCGATAGTTTGCTGAGAATGATGGTTTCCAGCTTCACCCATGTCCCTACAAAGGACATGAACTCATCATTTTTTATGGCTGCATAGTATTCCATGGTGTATATGAAGGCACTTGTAATTCTAAGTGTTTTAAGGTGTTCACAATTTTGGAAGACACAGGTATACATACATTTAATTATGATGAATACATAAAATAACAATATAAAGATATAGAAATACGATGCATGTTTTTTCTTTCTAAAAGAATTTAGGAAGAATGATAATAATAAGCATGAAGTAGGAAAAAAAAGAAGACATTTGTGTGTAGGGGGAATAACAGTTTTTCTCCATTCCTGGTTGCACCAATCCTCGCTAGGGAGCGTGGTGTTCCAGCATGCCTTTCCTGCAGTGTATAAGCGCTCTTATGTCCCTTGGTCACAGAGAATGTGGCCATGCCCTAGGCTGTGGCAACATGGTGCATTATAAAAGGGTCAGGAACCCTTGTTCTAAAACATGGGTGATAAATTGACAGCCACGAGCCAAATATGACCTGCAGATGTAAGTTTTTGACCAATTTAAAATAGTTACCAACATTTCAAAATTGAGAGATTTCAGAGAACAATTTGACCTCTAGCTTTTCTTAAAGAATTAGATTAGCTAATCCCAGCAATTTGAGAGGCCGAGGCAGGTAGATCACCTGAGGTCAGGAGTTCAAGACCAGCCTGGCCAACATGGTGAAACCCATCTCTACTAAAAATACAAAAAATTAGCTGGGCGCAGTGGTACGTGCCTGTAATCCCTGCTACTTGGGAGGCTGAGGCAGGAGAATCATTCGAACCCAGGAGGCAGAGGTTGTGGTGAGCTGAGATTGTTCCACTGCACTCCAGCCTGGGTGACAGAGGAAGACTCCGTCTCACAAACAACAACAACAACAGCAAAAAGAATTAGATTAGCTTTGGACCTTTGTTGGTTGGGTAACATTTCTCTGAAGCTGATCAATTGCAGCCACTTCAGATAAAGCACTCTCCAATTTCCCACCTACCTACCCTCTCCTTACTGCTTTCTATTATCTACCTGGCCCTGTAGGTGCTTATACGTGCTTGGTGTCCCCTGTAAGCAAGCACATTCTGAGGCTGGTGTATTCTTTTAGGGTCAAAGTGTTTGTGCCAGGTTTCTTCCAGCTTTGGGATACCTCCCTTCATATTTGTTTGTAGTAGTATATTTTGGGAGTCCTCATTCTTGGGTCTGGGTCCTCACAGCCTATCACAGTCAAGACAGATTAGACATGGGAGGAGGGAGAGAATACAGATTTGACCTGCTCCCCTGTTTTTACCCAATAAGGATTATTGTGAAACCTCAGGTCATTTAGAAGTTCTCCGAATTTATCCTGGACCACATTTGAAAGCTCAGGGAAAACCTCACAGGTACTTTCAAGTTATCCTGGTAACCAGGCGTGGCAGAGTGATCCAGCATGGCAGCCACCAGGTTTTGCTTATTGGCACTCAAGCAAAGCTGACTGTGCCTTCCTGATAGTTCTCTGCTGTTTTGCTGTGGCAGATTGCACAGTGGAAACTGGTGGTGTTATGGTCTCAGCTATGGTGAAATGCCAGTGTTCCCAGAAATGCCCTGAGATGAAATACTTAGGAATATCTCAGCGAAGTGTCTTGGAGGGCCAGCTATGCTTAGAAAATTCTCATTAACGGCCAGGCACGGTGGCTTATGCCTGTAATCCCAGCACTTTGGGAGGCTGAGGCGGGCGGATCACGAGGTCGAGAGATCAAGACCATCCTGGCTAACATGGTGAAACCCCATCTCTACTAAAAATACTAAAATCAGCTGGATGTGGTGGCGCACGCCTGTAATCCCAGCTACTTGGGAGGCTGAGGTAGGAGAATCACTTGAACCCAGGAGGCAGAGGTTGCAGTGAGCTGAGATCGCACCACTGCACTCCAGCCTGGAGACAGAGCGAGACTCTGTCTCAAAAAAAAAAAAAAAAAAAAAAAAATTCTCATTAACTATGACCATGTTGCACTCTGTCATTCTGAACCTACTGAGGTGTCCGCTACCCCAGGCTGTTACCTTATGATTGCTAAACAATGCCATTATCTAATGATTTTCATTAGGACAAATGAAAAAGTTAGAGACTTCCTAGTTACTCTTTTTGCTTCTTTGCATTCTGTATGAGTTTCCAAAGCACGTAGCAAGCGACTCAGCAGTAGCTGAGACTAACTCATTTATGGGGCGTCCAGAAATATACCTGGCTATCTCAATCTCTGTGTCAAAATTATTTGAACAGTTCAGAATTCTTTACTCCCATTAGCTGTACCTGGAGAGTACAGAGGTCAATGTAATAGTGTAAAGAATCTTAAAAGATAGCAGTTATACAGTGCTTAGTACAGGTTGAGCATCCATAATCTGAAAAGCTAAAATCTAAAATGCTCAAAAATACAAAACTACTTCAGCATTGACATAATGCCATAAATGAAAAATTCCAGCCCTGACCTCATGTGACGGGGCACAGTCAAAAAGCAGTTACACAACACACAGTTTATTCAGCATTCCCAATGGAAAATAAAATTTACCTTTAGGCTATGTATATAAGGTGATCTAAAACATAAATCAATTTTGGTTTAGGCTTGAGTCTCATCCCCAAGATGTCTTATTTTGTATATGCAAATATTCCAAAATCTGAAAAAATTCAAAATCCGAAATGCTTCTAGTCCCAAGCATGTTGGTTAAGGGGTATTCAACCTGTATGTGCCAGGGACTAAGTATGTCCTCAATTCTTTTGACAAATCTAGGTGGTACTCTAATTTCTTCTATTTCATAGATGAGGAACCCAAGGCACAGAAGGGTTAAAGTACATGCTTTGGATCATCAAGCTAGAAAGTAGTGCAGCAGGAATTTGAAATGAGGTAGTATAGCTTTAGAGTTCACACTCTTAAGCAAAAAGGTAATTCCTCTTCGTTATAGGGCAGAATAGTTCTGCATGGTGAAGCCAAACTATGTTAAACTTCAGCTTCACTTTATGATTAACTTACTGTCATGACAATTAACTTTACATAAAAATGGTAATAAGGGCTGGGCACAGTGGCTCATGCCTGTATTCCCAGCACTCTGGGAGGCCGAGGCAGGCGGATCACTTGAAGTCAGGGGTTGGAGACAAGCCTGGCCAACATGGTGAAACTCTGTCCCTACTAAAGATCAAAAATTAGCTGGGTGTGGTGGCAGGCACCTGTAATCCCAGTTACTCAGGAGGCTGAGGCGGGAGAATCACTTGAATCTGGGAGGCAGAAACTGCAGTGAGCCGAGATCACACCACTGCACTCCAGCCTAGGTGATGGAGTGAGACTCCGCCTCAAAAAAAAAAAGATAGTAAGAGCATAGCAATAATAGTATCACAATAAGCATTAGCTGGCAGTGTACTGAAGACTCCTGAAACATATGCTGCTTATTATAACATTTTGAGTTTTTCTCTCATCTTATTTATTACAATATTTATAAGGATAATTTTAAAACTTTAGGTTTGGATTGATTAGACGGGCAAAGAAGACTAAGAAGAGGTACCCAGAGAGTTAGGAGAAAAACTAAGAGCATGGGAAAATAAAGTACATCAAGAATGAAGAAATGGTTGCATATGTTGAATATCTTTCAGAGGCCTAGTAAGGTGAGGCTGAACACTGTACATGAAGTTTGTCAACATGGAGGTGTCCTTGGCAAGAACAGTTTTAATAAATCGTAGAGGTGGAAGATCCATAGATATGGGTTGAAGAGTTAATGGTAATTGCAATTTTCAGCAACATAATTAACTAGATATTCTGCAAACCTTCCAATACCAACACTTTAAAGTGCTTTGTAAAATATAACAGCTATCTTGCTAGATGTCATGTTGAACTGTCAAGAAAGTAAGAGCAATCCCAATGATCATAAATTTAAAAATAATCAGGGTGATAAAGCAAAACTGAAGCTACAGCTACCTCAAAGATATTTACAAATCTCATTAATGAAGACAGTAGGATTTGAATGGCTTAGCCCAGTGGAGAGACTAGGCTTTGGCCCATGTGAGGTGGGGAGTTAGAACTGATATCTCCATATAAACCTGAGTGCCTCAAATTTCTACATCTTTGCCTTTCATCAAAAGGAAATGTATCTAACTCAACCTGTACTCTACATGGAAAAAAGTCACCTCTGAGACTTCATAACAATGTGTCAGTCCTCATGTAAGCGTTGGCTTTGCATTTATGCTATTCACAAGGTCCATAAATCCTCACACTAAGAAATTAACTTAAAGTCATCTTAGGGCATTTGGTAGAAGAAAAATAAATCTGCTCTGGAGAGACATGCTTTTAACTCAACCTCACAGAATTTCTACCGTTAAAGTCACTGGGATGACAATGAGTTTATAATAGAAAATTATAAAAACAATAGAAATTACAAAACACAAGTCACTATGAGTGACAGCCAGCATTATAATCAGCAGAAGTAGGACCAAAATAATTTAATATTAAATTAAATTATTTAAGGAATTAGAAGGCAGAATAGAAAAATGTGAGGAGAAAGTAATTAAAGTGAACTTCTAGATGTGAAAAATATAATCTTTGAAATTAAAAACTGAATGAAATAATTAAAGCAAAAGATTAGCCAGAGCTAAAGAGAGACTAGTGAACTACAAGATATGAAACTTAAGGAAACTTACAGAAAGAATGAAAGAAATAGAAAATATAAAGAGAGAGTAAGAGATACTGAAAAATGAGTTTTACCATGTGTCTAAATAAAGTTCCAGAAAAAGAGAATGAGACAGAGAATATTCAAAATATCAAAGGCTAAGAATTTTCTAGAAGCAAAGACAATAAATCATCAGATTTAGAAAGGACAAGAAAAGGAACAATAAAAAAAAAATCCTACCAAGATTCACTGTATGAGCAGAACAGAGAGACAAATAGTTCTTAAAGGCAATTAGAAAGAAAAGGGAAAACATCCACAGTTCAACTGTAGGTAAAGACTTGAAAACTGCTGAATTCTACCAAATATTTAAAAAAGAACTAATACCACTTCTCAAACTAATTTCAGAAAATTTAAGAGGAATACTTTCAAACTCATCTTATAAGGCCAACATTATTCAGATTCCAAAACTGGGAAAGAACACAATAAGAAAAGAAAACTACAGGCCAATATCCCTGAGGAAACTAGATGCAAAAATTCTCAACCAGATACTAGCAAACTGAATCCAACAGTACATTAAAAAGATCATTCACATTAGTGGGTGCAGTGCACCAGCATGGCACATGTATACATATGTAACTAACCTGCACAATGTGCACATGTACCCTAAAACTTAGAGTATAATAAAAAATAAATAAATAAATAAAAATAAAAAGATCATTCACTATGATCAAGTGAGATTCATCTCAGGGATGCAAGCATGATTTAACAAAAACCAAATGATTATTTCAATAGACACAGAAAAAGCATTTGACAAAATTCAACATCCTTCATGATGAAAACTCTCAAGAAATTAGGAACAGAAGTTCTGTACCTCAACACGAGAAAGGCCATATATGGAAAACTCATAGCTAACATTATATTGAACAGGAACAAGACAAGTATGACCATTTTTACCACTTTTATTCAATGTAGTATTGTAAGTCCTAGCCAGAGCAATTAGCCAAGGTACAGAAATAAAAGACACCCAAATTGGAAAAGAGAGAGTCAGATCGTCCCTGTTTGTATATGGCATAATTGTATATAGAGAGAACCCCAAAGACATCACCAAAGACTGTAGAACTAATTTTAAAAATTCAGAAAAGTTGCAGGATACAAAATTAGCATACAAAAATGAGTAGCATTTCTATGCACTAATAGTGAACTACTTGAAAAATAAATTTAAAAAGAGGTTCCATTTACAATAGCTACAGATAAAAAAGATACCTAGGAATAAACTTAACCAAGGAGACGAAAGAACTCTGCAATGAAAACTATAAAACTTCAATGAAAGAAATTGAAGAAGACACAAATAAATGAAAAGATACCATGTGTTCATAAATTAGAAGAATTAATATTGTTAAAATGGCCACACTACCCAAAATGCTCTACAGTTTAATGCAATCCCTATCAAAATGCCAATGACATTCCTCATAGTAATAGGAAAAAAAATCATAAAATTCATATAAAACCACAGAAGCCTCAAATAGCCAAAGCAAACCTGAATAAAAAGAAAAAAGTTGGAGACATTACACAGCCTGATTTCAAAATATGTGATAAAGCTATCATAACTTAAACAGCATGGTACTGACATAAAAACAGACACATAAACCAATGAAACTGAATAAAAAGTCCAGAAATAAATTTATACACCTACACCCAACTGACTTTCAACAAAGGTGCCAAGAACACACATTGGAGAAAAGACAGTCTCTACAATAAATTTTGTGGTGGGAAAATCAGATATTCACATGCAGAAGAATGACACTATATTCTATCTTTCAACATACACAAAAATCAGGTCAATGTGAATTAAACACTTATATGTGAAACCAAAAACTGAAACCATACTAGAAGAAAACATAGAAAAAATGCTTCATGACATTGGGCTGGGCATAAATTTGTTAAATATGACTTCAAAAGCACATGCAACAAAAGCAAAAATAGACAGTTGGGATTACATTGAACTAAAAAAATTTTGCATAGCAAAGGAAACGATTAACAGAATGAAGAAACAACCTATAGAATGAGAGAAAATACTTGTAAATTATCTATCTGACAAGAGGTTAATATCCAGAATACATAAGGAATTTAAACAACTTTCCAGCAAAAAAAACAAAACAAAACAAAAACCAAAAACCAGATAACCCAATTTAAAAATAGACAAAAGAGGCTGGGCATAGTGCCTCACACCTGTAATCCCAGCACTTTGGGAGGCCGAGGTGGGTGGATCAGTTGAGGTTAGGAGTTCGAGACCAGCCAGGCCAACACAGTGAAACCCTGTCTCTAGTAAAACTAGAAAAACCAGCTGGGCGTGGTAGTGCACGCCTGTGATCCCAGCTACTAGGGAAGCTGAGGCAGGAGGATTGCTTGAAACCAGGGGACAGAGGTTGTAATGAGCCGAGATCATGCCACTGCACTCCGGCCTGGGTGACAGAGCAAGATTCTGTCTCAAAAATAATAATAATAAATAATAATACATAAAAAATAGACAAAAGACCTTAATAGATATTTATCTAAGGACATACAAATGACCAACAGGTATTTAAAAAAAGCTCAACATAACTAATCATCAGGGAAATGCAAATCAAAACCACAATGAGATACCACTTCACTCCAGTTAGAATGTCTACTACCAAAAAGACAAAGTAAAGCAAGTGCTGGCACAGATGTGGAGAAAAAGGAACACTTGCACGTGTTCGTGGGATTGTAAACTAGTACAACCACTATGGAAAACAGTATGGAGGCTCCTGAAAAAATTAAAAATAGAGCCACCATATGATCCAGCAACCCTACAACTGGGTATATATTAAAAGGAAATAAAATTAGTATGTCATAGAGAAATCTACACTCCCATGTTTACTGTAGCACTATCTACAATAGCCAAGATATGAACTGAACCTAAATGTCCAGCAATGGATGAATGAATTAATACAATGTGATATATATACAAAATAGAATACTATTCAGCCTTTAAAAAGAGAGAAGTGATATTATTTGTGACAACATGAACCTGGAGGATATCATGTTAAATGAAGTAAGCCAAACACAGAAGGACAAAAACTACGTGATCTCACTCATAGGTGAAATTTTTTCTAAAAAGTTGATATCATAGAAGTAGAATGTAGAACCATGAAACACTGGTTACCACAGACTGAGGAGGGGAGGATGAGGAGAGGTTGGTCAATGAGTAGAAAGTTACAATTAAATAGAAGGAATAAATTCTGGTATTCTGTTTCACAGGAGGGTGACTTTGGTTAATAGTAAAATACCATATATTACCAAATGAATATTCTTGACACAAATAAATGACAAATTCATGAGATGATGCATATACTATCTGATTGAATAATTATACAACATATATGTATCAAAACATCAAACTGTACCCATAAATATGTACAATTATAATGTCAATTAAAATTTAAATTATTTATTCAAAAATGGAAGCCAAAAGACTAGAATATTTGCAAATTGTTGAGAAAAAATTATTCTTGAACAAGAATTACATCTCTCTTTAAAAATATTATTTTAAAAATGTTATTCAAAAATGAAGGCAAAGTAAATAATTTTGAATAAACAAAACTGAGTGTACCACTAGTATCACTAAGGGAATTTTAAAAAGATGTCTTACAAGAAACCATGACCCCTTAAGAATCTGCCAAATAAAAACAAATAGTGAGCAAAAAAACTTAGTTATCATGTATAAGTCTAAACTAAACTTCAGTGTATGAAACAATAATTATTATAATTTGGGAATTTCAGAAAACAAGATGGAGCTAAAATGCTGGACAAAACACCTGTAAAATGAGAAGTGAATATTGAAAATAAAGTGTACTAAGCTACTTGTATTGTTCAAGAGGAGATGAGAGGTATTCAGTAATTTTACATTTTGTTAGTGTGCATGTTAAATTATTAATGATTACTACTGAAAGAATAGAAATAAAGTATGTAACTCCCAAACTAGTTGATGGGGAAAAAAATGGATGAAAGACATGATGAATCAAAAGAAGGACAGAATAGGCAAGTAAATTAAAAGCAAAAGATGAAATGGTACTGATAAAAATATGTGACTATATTCATATAATATACTACTCAGCAATAAAACAATAAACTTCTGATACATGCAACAATGGGTATGAATCTCAAAAAAATAGGCTAAGTATTAGAAGACAGTCCAAAAAAGACATAAATAATCAATTTATATGAAGTCCCAAAACAGACCAAACTAAACCACAGGGAAAGAAATCAGAATAGTGCTTGTTTCTGTGACGAGAGTGAGAATAAAGGGAAAGGAGCTTAAGAGAAATTTCTAGGATAGAATAATCTTGATTGTTGTGTTGATTACAAAGGTATACATTTGTCAAAGCTCATCAAATTATACACTGTATATTTTACATTAGGTAATTATACCTCAATATGTAGGTGTGTATGTAATCACAATAAATGTAAAGGAACTATTTTTTCTAAAGAAACAGAATTGCCAGATTGAATCAAAAAAAAAAACAACAACTTAGTTTGGTGGTTGATATAGTTTGGCTGTGTCCCTACCCAAATCTCATCGTGAATTGTAGTTCCCATAATCCCCACGTCATGGGAGGGACCAGGTGGAGATATTGAATCATGGGGGTGGTTCCCCCATCCTATTCTCATGATAGTTCATTCTCATGAGATCTGATGGTTTTATAAAGGGCTTCCCACTTTGCTGGGCACTCATTCTTCTCCTTTTTGCTGCCATGTGAAGAAGGACTTGTTTGCTTCCCCTTCTGCCATGATTGTAAGTTTCCTGAGGCCTCCCCATCCATGCTGAACTGTGAGTCAATTAAACCTCTTTTCTTTATAAATTACCCAGTCTCAGTATGTCTTTATTAGCAGCATGAGAACAGACTAATACAATGGTATTGACAAGAGGCATATCTAAAACAAAAGCACATAAAAAGATTCAAAGTGAAAGGATAAAGGAAGATACAGCACGCAAATACTATTACTAATACTTTTTAAAAGGTCATATGTTTAAGGCCAAAAACATTATTAGGGAAATAACACTCACTACATGATAATAGCTAACATTCACCAGAAATATTTAAAATTTTTCAACTTGTGTCCGTCTAATACTAAGACCTGGAAATACATAAGGCAAAAGCTGATAGATGTACAGTAGAACCTACACATTTATAGTTGTACTGGAAGATTTTATGTTATAATACATATATGGAAGATTTTAACAACACAATTAAAAATATTGATCTAACATTGATCACAATTAAAAGTATATATGAACCAAACAGAGAATACAGATTCGCCTTGAGCATACATTTGTGAAATTTGTCACATAAAGTAACATAAATGATTACATGTGAACACATTTCAGAACCAGCATAAAACAGACCATGTTCTCTGACCACGATACAATTGATAGTAATCAATAACAAAGAGATAATGTAAAAGAACCTACATGTTTGAAAATTCAAAATTCATTTGTAAGTAACTCATGAGTCAATATGTATTACAGTGGAATTTTAAAAATACTAATTAAAGAACAATAGAAAAGGTTTAATATCAAAACTTTCCCTCTCTTTTTCTCTCAGTTATGTATCAAAAATATATTTAATAAAGGGCTTATATCTAGACTACAGAAATAACTCTTACGACTCAATAATAAGACAAAAAATGAGGAAAACACATATTGATAAGATTTATGAATGGCTAGTGATCACATAAGTTGTTGAACATCACTAGACTTTGGGGAAATGTAAATTAAAACTACAGTGAGATGACTTTAAATATTATTGAGAATAATTAAAAAAGACCGAAAATACCAAGTGTTGGTGAAAATATGGAGCAATTGGAAATCTCAAACACTGTTTTCCAAAGTAGTTGTAAAATTGTATAAATATTTGGGAGAAGAATTTCACAATTACTTATAAGTTAAACATATACTTAACATATAACTCAGCAATTTTATTTCTGGTATTTACTCATGAAAAATAAAAACATGCATTCAAAAAATGATTTGTATACGAGTATGTATACCAGCTTTATTCATAACAGCCCCAAACTGGAAATAACCCGAATGCCCATTGAGAGGCAAGTGAAATAAACTGTAATATAATTTGTAGAATGGAACACTACTCAGTAATAAAAAGGAATGAACTACTAATACATGGATAAATTTTAAGATGAATAAATTTCAAATACATTATGCTAAGCAAAAAAAAAAAAGCCAGACAGAAGAAAATATGTGTATGATTCCACTTATATTAAATTTTAGAAAAGGCAAACTAATTTATAATGACAGAAAGCAGATCAATTGTTCCCTGGGACCAGACTAGGGTAGTGGTGAAGGTTGGCTGCAAAGGGGCACAAGGGAATTTTGGCATACTGGAAATGATCTCTTTATTGGTTATAGTGGTGGTTACACATTCATCAAAACTCAATGAAATATAAAAATTTGGGCATTTTATTGTATGTAACTTATATTTTAAGAGGTTTGTTTTTTAAAAAAGAATGCCTGAAATGACAAGCTACGCATTCAATTCAAGAAAACCCGAAAAAAGTAGAAGGAAAAACATTTTAAAGATCATAAATTCATAAATAATAAAGATAAGATAGGGACAATCAATAAAGAAGTGTTCTTTAAAATAAAAACCTAAACAAATTAATTTCTGACAAAAAAGAAATAGCACACATATACAGTGTTAAGAATGAAAAAGGCACATGGTTACAGATGTAGAAATAAAAATAAGGGAGTTACATAAATAACTTCAGGCTAATAAATTTAAAGATATTCAAAACAGACAATCTCCTAGAAAATAATGTATACCAAAATTGACTTAAGTAGAAATGGGAAATCTGAAAAGACTTACAACCAATAAAGAAATTGAATCAGTGGGTTAATATCTACTTTTTCTTTAAACTTCTGCCTGAAATTATTAGGCCCAGATGTTTTTAACAAAGTTCTATCTAAAACACATCCAAGAGATGACTAACATAATTACAACTGTACCAAAAAAAAAAAAAAAAAAAGGAAAAGGAAACACATCTAATGATCAAAATTCAAATCCTATAAAACACTTCCAGAGAATAGGAAAAAAGAGGAATGCCCCAAATCTCATTTAAAAAGTAAACTCATGTAAATTAGATGACAGTGTAATTGTAAAATATGACAGACTCATCTTATTTATAAACATAGATTCTAAAAAAATCTGCAGCATTATGGGCATCCCCGCCAGCACCATTACAGCTGCATTATGCAGGCACAGAGGCATAGAGGTCTGCAGTGGGCATCCATCCAAGGTCGAGGATTACTAAACTACTGGACACACATTCTGAACTTGGGAAGAAATTAGAAAATAGGAAGGAGTTGATGACTATAGAGAAAAGATGACGTAGTTTAGGGGATTGGAGATCTCAAGTCAAAGAATTTTCCTTGTATGAAAAGTGAGTGAGAAGGGTAGGCCAAAGATGGGAGTGTTTGTGTACCTTGAATAATGTTGGGCTGCCTGGTCTCACCCTGGTGTTGCATTCAAAAGAAACATCAGTCCAACATGTAAGGAAGCATAACAAGCATTTTAAATTTTGAACTAAAATAGCTTAAAAAGGGGCAAAGAAGCTCACGCCTGTAATACCAGCACCTTGGGAGGCTGAGGTGGAAGGATCACTTGAGGTCAGGAGGTCGAGGCCAGCCTGGCCAACATGATGAAACCCCATGTCTACTAAAAATAAAAATTAGCCGGGTGTGGTGGTGCATGCCGGTAATCTCAGCTACTCAGGAGGGTGAGGCAGGAGAATCACCTGAACCCAGGAGGTAGAGGTTGCGGTGAGCTGAGATCGCACCACTGCACTCCAGTCTGGGTGACAGAGTGAGACTCTGTCTCAAAAAAAAAAAAAAAAAAAAAAATAATTATTACATTTTTTGTCACAGCAAAACAGTTTAAATCCCCTTTGCTTATCAGTTTCCCTGGGATCTCGCTTCTCACCTCTGTTGTAGCCCTATCTCCTTCTAGAACTTCAGCCTACAGTTCCAGTGCTTTTCTCTTCCTCTTCCAGTTCTCTCTTCTTCAAGGAGCGGCTTCGGGCCCTTTATCGCGTGCTTCAATCAAGTCTTATCTGTTCCATCTAGTTTTTTCAGCTGTGCCCATTGTCTGAATCAGCACAAAGTTCAATAGCTTCCAATTTTGGCTATCACTTGAGTTGAGTTCCCAATCTTGCACGTGGTATGGTTTCTGTTGGTGATGAGGTCAGGGATGTAACCAAGTGTAGCACAGAGTGAAAGAACATTGGAGATGAGAAGACTAAAGATTTGAGCGGCCAAACTTGAGGCTATGTCAAGTGATGTCAGGAGTTGGGGTGAAGAAGAAGACATGTGCTTATGTCTTTTTCGAGTGAGGAGAATGACCACAAAATTGCTCTATGGTTCTTGTAAAGAGAGACGAAGTTGCCAGACACATAAGAATGATTTTTATTCAATAAGGAAGAAAAATAATGGTCTTAAAGGAGTGAGAGTAAACAGCTTCTATCTGAGAGAGCTATAGGAGAAACAGTATTCCTGATGTAGAGTCAAGTTTTGGTTAAGAAAAGTGGGGCAGACGGGGGCGGGTATGGTTTACAGAGGAAGTTAAAATTTATGAGACATCAATGAAGAGAAATTTCTAGAAGGTGCAGTGGAAGGATTTTGGTTTTGAGGAAAAGGGGTGGAACAGATTTGGGATTTACAGCACCGTTTGGGGAAGACTGAGTAGAAGACAAAAAATATGGAGGGGCTTCGTTCTTGGTGATAGATAAAAAGGCATGTGGAACATTGTCATTGTAGTTCTGATCTTTTAGAGCAGGGGTCCCCAACCCTCTGGGCTATGGACTGGTACCAGTCTGTGGCCTGTTGAGAACCAGGTGGCAAAGCAGGAAGGGAGCGGTGGGAGAGCGAGTGAAGCTTGATCTGTATTTACAGCGGCTCCCCATAGCTCACATTACTACCTGAGCTCCACCTCCTATCAGATCAGCCTTGGCATTAGATTCTCATAGAAGCACAAACCCTACTGTGAACTGTGCATGCGAGGGATCTAGGTTGCCTGCTCCTTATGAGAATCTAACTAATGCCTGATGATCTGGAGTGGAACAGTTTTATCCTGAAACCATCCCTCCCACACCATCTGTGGAAAAATTGTCTTCCATGAAACTGGTCCCTGGTGTCAAAAACGATGGGGACCACTGTTTCAGAGGAAACTGAATTGCTTGGATCTAGGTGTATGATCCAGAGGCTTCGTATGGAGAAGATGAGACATTTCTGATAGGCCAGGGATAGCTGTTGCTGCAGGAGCAGTAGAGCTGGATTTTGCCTTTTCATAGAGACTTGCACTTTTTTTTTTTTTTCTGAGGGAATCTTGCTCTGTCACCAAGGCTGGAGTGTGGTGGCATGATCTTGGCTCACTGCAACCTCTGCCTCCCAGGTTCAAGCAATTCTCCTGCCTCAGCCTCCCGAGTAGCTGGGATTACAGGCACACACCACCAAACCCGGCTAATTTTTGTATTTTTGGAAAAGACAGGGTTTCACCATGTTGGCCAGGCTGGTCTTGAACCCCGACCTCGTGATCCACCCACTTCAGCCTCTCAAAGTGCTGAGATTACAGGTGTGAGCCACCACACTTTTGAGAATGTATCCTAAGGAATTAATCACAGCAGCACATTAATTTATGCATGAGGATATTCATCACCATCTTATTTTTAATAACAAAAAGTTGGGACTATTTTAAATGTCCAACAATAAAGAACGGTTTAATCAAGTATGAATATTCATTACAGAATTCTGTGTAGACATAAAAAAAATTATGTAGGTATGAGGAAGAAATATGGTATATTATTAAGTGAAAAATATATAATTATGTGTAGGTGAATGTAAATGACTAGTTAGTTCTTGAGTTGAACATTGGTTTTATAAGTGTGCATTATATTACTAAAATCATAAATAAAATAGAGGATCATTGCTGAATGAAAGACAACTGTCATGATCTAAGAATTATGATTAATAAATTTCCATCTGAGGTTCAGCTTTTAAAAAATTCATATATGAAATAAACAGTATCATTCTACTTTTTGTTAAAAATAATATAAGCCATGCTTTGTCTTCCTCCTCATCTCCCAAGCCTTTGAACTTTTTTTTTTTTTGGCCTTTGACCTTATTGATCATTCTCTGTATTTTAGCTTAGTCTGAATGTATTTGTTATCTATTGCTGTGTAACAAATTGCTCTCCTCCCTAAAACTTTGTAGCTTACAATGATAAACATGTATTATGTCACAGTTTCTGTGGGTTAGCAATTTGGGAGCAGCTTTGCTGGGTGGTTCTTGCCCAAGAGGTGTCAATCAGGATGTTGGCAGGGGCCACAGGCACCTGAAGGCTTCACTGAGGTTGGAAGTTCCACTTCTAAGATGGCGCACTCACAGGGCTGTTGGCAGGAGGCCTCAGTTTCTTACCATGTGAACTTCTTCATAAGCTTGCTCAATTGTCCTCACCACATGGCAGCTGGCTTCCCCCAGAGTGACCAATCCAAGATAAAGAGCAAGGAGGAGGCTACAATGCCTTTTATGACCTAATTTCGGGAGTGGAAAACGAATACTTCTGATACATTCTATTCATTAGAAGCTAGTCACTATGTTTGCTCAGGGGCAAAGAGATGCAGCTGCTGGGGGTTGGAAGTTGGGCAGGCAGGTGTTAAAGTAATAAGGCCTAGGGGGTATGAGTGGAGCAGTGACAGCTCTGTTATACTCCCATCACTCACTAACTCTTGAAATATTAATCTGTCATTCCAATAAGAATTTGTCTCCTACCTTTACAGCATGTGTAATAGATTGCCTTCTAAGTACGGTTCATATCCTCCTCACTCATCTTCCCACCAAATGTCCAGGTGCTCTCACCTAATTTATGTATTCATTTAATTTAATTATTTTAATTGTAGGTTTTCAGTATTGACTAGCATCCACATGGTTCCTCCTATTTAGATTGTAAGATATTAGGTGGCTGACTGCATAGAACCCTGGAGTTGAAAAAAAAAAGAAAACCCTGGAGTTCCTGCAAGCCAACCCTCCATCTGCTCTACATGTTCTTTCAAAGCATTTTTCACAAATGGCCATTCAGATTCAGCTTGCATACTTCAACTGAAAGGGGCTCACTATCTTACCACCATGTGACGTATTTAGTAAAAGCTTTTGATTACAAAGACAATGATTTTAGAAACTTGGCATATCTAAAAGAGTAAGCCTGTGAGATATATTAATATACTATGGCAGCCTCGTAATATGACTCAGGATGGCCTTTCATACTTGAGATCAGATACTAGATTTTTGCTCTTAGTCTTTTCAGAAGCTCATCTCTGATGCACCGGTAAGTGCTTTTGGCAGGCAATGATCATGGAGTACATATAGTTTCTCCTATCTTCCCCAACTCTGGCACCGAGTTAGGGGTGATGATATACCCTGGGTCAGTTTTCTCTTCCAAAAGACAGAAAGAAAATAGAAAAAGATTCTTATTCCTGGGTGCTGGCCCTGATTCTTCAGTGTGTGAGTAAATGAGTCAGTACTATTTACCTAGGAGGTTTATAATGATTATTTCATGTTTTAAATTCAATCCTGATTTTCCTGCAAATGCAGCATTCAGAGGAAAAGAAAGAACTCAGCTGTCTGTACAAACATATGGAAATCAATGATAAATGGACAGAGACTGCAGAGTATATTTATTAACCAAGCTTGTATAAATCATAATTTTTCAACCATTTATTAAACTAATAGGATTGTTTTGGGAACATCAAAGAATTCTTTATTAAGTAAATAATCATGTTTATCCACTCAGTTATGGGGAAAAGCAAATCATTCACACTGCATTTACTCTGCCTCATCAGATTTCATTTCTCTTAAATGTCAGCCATTGATAATTTTTACCAAACAAGCTGGGAAGAAAAGTCCAAATTCCTACCAGCCTTCAGCCACCTCTCCAGTTCAGGGAAAGGACTGTTGCTGGCTTTTCAGATTTCCATTTCTTTCTTCCCCAACTGGGTAAATTCTCCATGAGGCTTAAAATGGCTCTACCATAATGAACTCAAATTTAGATAGTTGGCAGCCTTGGCCAGCTCGCTTTCTTTCTTTCTCTCTCTCTTTCTTTCTTTCTTTCTTTCTTTCTTTCTTTCTTTCTTTCTTTCTTTCTTTCTTTCTTTCTTTTTCTTTCTTTTCTTTCTTTCTTTTCTTTCTTTCTTTCCTTTCTTTCCTTTCTTTCCTTCCTTTCCTTCCTTTCTTTTTTTTTTTTTTTTTTAATTGATCATTCTTGGGTGTTTCTCGCAGAGGGGGATTTGGCAGGGTCATAGGACAATAGTGGAGGGAAGGTCAGCAGATAAACAAGTGAACAAAGGTCTCTGGTTTTCCTAGGCAGAGGACCCTGAGGCCTTCCGCAGTGTTTGTGTCCCTGGGTACTTGAGATTAGGGAGTGGTGATGACTCTTAACGAGCATGCTGCCTTCAAGCATCTGTTTAACAAAGCACATATTGCACCGCCCTTAATCCATTTAACCCTGAGTGGACACAGCACATGTTTCAGAGAGCACAGGGTTGGGGGTAAGGTCACCGATCAACAGGATCCCAAGGCAGAAGAATTTTTCTTAGTACAGAACAAAATGAAAAGTCTCCCATGTCTACTTCTTTCTACACAGACATGGCAACCATCCGATTTCTCAATCTTTTCCCCACCTTTCCCCCCTTTCTATTCCACAAAACTGCCACTGTCATCATGGCCCGTTCTCAATGAGCCGCTGGGCACACCTCCCAGACGGGGTGGTGGCCGGGCAGAGGGGCTCCTCACTTCCCAGCAGGGGCGGCCCGGCAGAGGCGCCCCTCACCTCCCGGACGGGGCGGCTGGCCGGGTGGGGGGGCTGACCCCCCCACCCCCCTCCCGGACGGGGCGGCTGGCCGGGCGGGGGGGCTGACCCCCCCAACTCCCTCCCGGACGGGGCGGCTGGCCGGGCGGGGGGGCTGACCCCCCCACCTCCCTCCCGGACGGGGCGGCTGGCCAGGCAGAGGGGCTCCTCACTTCCCAGTAGGGGCGGCCGGGCAGAGGCGCCCCTCACCTCCCGGACGGGGCGGCTGGCCGGGCGGGGGGCTGACCCCCCCACCTCCCTCCCAGATGGGGCGGCTGGCATGGCAGGGGCTGACCCCACCTCCCTCCCGGACGGGGTGGCTGCCGGGCGGAGACGCTCCTCACTTCCCAGACGGGGTGGCTGCTGGGCGGAGGGGCTCCTCACTTCTCAGACGGGGCGGCTGCCGGGCAGAGGGGCTCCTCACTTCCCAGACGGGGTGGCTGGTGGGCGGAGGGGCTCCTCACTTCTCAGACGGGGCGGCTGGCCGGGCAGAGGGGCTCCTCACTTCCCAGTAGGGGCGGCCGGGCAGAGGCGCCCCTCACCTCCCGGACGGGGCGGCTGGCCGGGCGGGGGGCTGACCCCCCACCTCCCTCCCAGGCGGGGTGGCTGGCCGGGCAGAGGGGCTCCTCACTTCCCAGTAGGGGCGGCCGGGCAGAGACGCCCCTCACCTCCCGGACGGGGCGGCTGGCCGGGCGGGGGGCTGATCCCCCCACCTCCCTCCCAGACGGGGCGGCTGGCCGGGCGGGGGGGCTGACCCCCCCACCTCCCTCCCGGACGGGGCGGCTGGCCGGGCGGGGGGGCTGACCCCCCCACCTCCCTCCCGGACGGGGTGGCTGGCCCGGCAGAGGGGCTCCTCACTTCCTAGTAGGGGCGGCCGGGCAGAGGCACCCCTCACCTCCCGGACGGGGCGGCTGGCCGGGCGGGGGGCTGACCCCCCCACCTCCCTCCTGGACAGGGCGGCTGGCATGGCAGGGGCTGACCCCCACCTCCCTCCCAGACGGGGTGGCTGCCGGGCGGAGACGCTCCTCACTTCCCAGACGGGGTGGCTGCCGGGCGGAGGAGCTCTTCACTTCTCAGACGGGGCGGTTGCCAGGCAGAGTGTCTCCTCACTTCTCAGATGGGGCGGCCGGGCAGAGACGCTCCTCACCTCCCAGATGGGGTCGCGGCCGGGCAGAGGCGCTCCTCACATCCCAGATGGGGCGGCGGGGCAGAGGCGGTCCCCACATCTCAGACGATGGGCGGCCAGGCAGAGACGCTCCTCACTTCCTAGATGGGATGGCGGCCGAGAAGAGGCGCTCCTCACTTCCTAGATGGGGTGGCGGCCGGGCAGAGACGCTCCTCAATTTCCAGACTGGGCAGCCAGGCAGAGGGGCTCCTCACATCCCAGACGACGGGCGGCCAGGCAGAGACGCTCCTCACTTCCCAGACGGGGTGGCGGCCGGGCAGAGGCTGCAATCTCGGCACTTTGGGAGGCCAAGGCAGGCGGCTGGGAGGTAGAGGTTGTAGCGAGCCGAGATCACGCCACTGCACTCCAGCCTGGGCACCATTGAGCACTGAGTGACCGAGACTCCATCTGCAATCCCGGCACCTCGGGAGGCCGAGGCTGGCGGATCACTCGCGGTTAGGAGCTGGAGACCAGCCCGGCCAACACAGCGAAACCCCGTCTCCACCAAAAAAATACGAAAACCAGTCAGGCGTGGTGGTGCGCGCCTGCAATCGCAGGCACTAGGCAGGCTGAGGCAGGAGAATCAGGCAGGGAGATTGCAGTGAGCCGAGATGGCGGCAGTACAGTCCAGCTTCGGCTCGGCATCAGAGGGAGACCGTGGAAAGAGAGGGAGACCGTGGGGAGAGGGAGACCGTGGGGAGAGGGAGAGGGAGAGGGGGAGGGGGAGGGGAGGGAGAGGGAGAGGGAGAGGGAGCTTGTATATGTATTTCTGTCTTTTTCTTTCTCTCCCCTTTCCTTTCTTTCTTCTTTCTTTCTTCATCCTATGCCAGTCTCTTTATTATCTGACCACCCAGGCACATCTCAGTGGCCTACTTTGTGGATTAGGCATGAGCCAGAGACCCTCAGCACCTGGGACAATTCTCTCTGTTTCTACTCTTGTTCTCCATTGCGCAGCCAGCTGGTGTGGGCTCAGAGAACAATGACTTGAATTTCCAGTGTTAACAGGAATACAACACAATCAGGAAGTAGAATCTGCTGCCTGACAGCAAAGACATATTCAGATGTTTGTTATTTTTATTTTTAATGTCAGTGTTGTTGTGAAAATTATTTTTATGCATTAGAATTTTATAAATAAAAATGTATTTAACCATAATTTAACAGGTACTGGGAGAGTTCCAGATTCCACTCATTTGTAGTTATTGATCTCTCTAAGGCCAGTCACTGGGCATAGTGAGAAATATGAAGATTTATTGAGTTACTCAGTAAACATTTACCGTGTACTGGCAATGTGCCCGACCCTGTTTGTGACACTGAGAATACAGAAATGAACAAGAAAAACAATGCTCCTGATCTCAGGAAGCTGCTATTCTAGTGGGAAAAGACAAATATTAAGTATATAAATAAGTCTATAAAATTACTACCAAGCAGCAAGTGTTATAAAGAAAATAAAAATGTAACAGAATAATCTGAGAGTGACTGGCAGCAGTGGGGGGTGGGCGCTACTTTAGAGGACTGGCCAATGTAGGCATCTGGAAGGTGACATTTGACCTAACTTTGATGATAAGTGAAATAGGGCACATTGCTTTTCCTGGAAGTTTACTGTCAAGAAAGATGATAAGACTGCACTTAATGTAGTATATAACCTTAAGCATGTATCTATGAACGTCACGTTAAAAATGGCAGAGCATCACACAACTCAAGGAAAGAAGAAAATATCTATAGGTCCACAGTAATACAAATAAATAATTGAAGAAAGAAAACAAAGGAAGGAAGGGAGGGAGGGAGGGAGGGAGGAAGGAAGGAGAGAGAATGGACAAATAAATCTTTCTGCAGAAGAATTCCAAATGATATATGTGGATACTCCCCTCTCCTGGGTCACAGGCTTAATCCCCTTCCTTTTCAGTGTCATCTAGACTTAGTGACTTGATTCCAAAGAATAGAGCATGGAAAGGGAAAAACAGAAATTTTACAGTGGAGAAACCTCACAAATACCACCTTATCCAAGTGATCAAGATTAGCTTCATCAAGGACAAGTCATGTTGACATCACATACCCTCTGATATAATGTGATAAGAAGGGCACTTCACTTCTGTATTATCCATTCCCAAAACCCAGTCTGATCATGAGAAAACATCAGAAAGACTCAAATTGGGAGACATTCTACAAAATTCCTGACCAGTACTCTTCAAAATTGTCAAGGTTATAAAAAACAATAAAAGACCATCACAGATTAAGGAGACCAAGAAAACATGCTAACCAAATTCAATGTGGAAACCTGGAAAAAGGAAAGGACATTAGTGGAAAAACTGGTGAAACCCAAATAAAGTCTATAGTTTAATAGTGTACCAATGTTAAATTTTTTGTTTTGACAAATTGCCATGGTTATGCAAGATGTTAACATTAGGGTGAGTGGGGTGAGGGTACATGAGGGATCTCTGTACACTCTTTGTAACTCTTCTGTAAATCTGGTGCAAAGATGGTATTCTAGAGTGGGAGAATGGCTTTTTAGTGGAATAAAGTATGAAGTGGATGTGGGGCATAGCAAGCATTCCATTTTTATTAAGTGAAATCTTACACCAAATAGCTATCACTTCCTCTATACTTCTACTGCTTAATCACTTTTGAGTTACCTCTTTTACTTTCACATTGTGCTATCATTCCCTCACTAGACTGAGATTTTTTCCTTTTAATTTCTTTATTTTTATTTTTTGTAGAGATGGGGTCTTGCTAGGTTGCCCAGGCTGGTCTTATGTGATCTTCCCACCTAAGCCTCCCAAAGTGCTGGGATTATAGGCATGATGAGCCACCATGCCTGACCCTGAGCTTTTTAAGGGCAAGAGCCATACCTAATTAGCATTTAACGTGGTGTCTGGTGCAATGTAGGTCCATAGAAATTTGCTTAATGAATGAATGAAAGGAGCAAAATATAAGGTAGTTTCCAGCCTTGAAAGTGAATATAAGGCACATAACTTAATTTAGAAAGCAGTGGGGAGTCACTGGAGATTGTTGAGCAGAGGAATGGTACAATCAGAGTTGACCTTAAGGAAGATTCCTCTCATGGCACTGTACAACATGGAGTGTGGGGAAAGAGACTAGCTAATGGCAGGAAAACCATATAGGAGATTTACTGCATTCCTGCTGGCTACTGTTATTGAGGGAAGGGGTTTGGGAGAAAGAGATTGCAAAGCAATGTGAAGAATCCACTCAGGCTGTTTTCTGAAGTGTTGCTGCCTACTTTTTCTATTATACTCTCTGTCTAAATAATTATGGAATGTCTACTGGGCCATTGCACTGAGCTGAGCCCCATGCATGTGTGAGAAGAAGTCTCGTAAAACATGGATTCATCTGGAGGAGGCTTACAGTCATTTATTTTGCACAGATTGGTTGTTGCCTTGGATGACTTTGTTTGTTTGCTAGGGTAAATAATACCAGGGGCTGAAACAAATAGCAATAAAATTTCACATGTGAGTTTTGTGAAAACATATTGAAGCCCAGCATGGGTCCAGGGAAGGTGTGGGCCATAGCCTGCTCTAAACAGTCATTCAGGAACACAGTGACTCCACCCTCTACATGCCATAACCATCAAATAAAGGAGAAAGAGTGTGGAGGTGGCAATGCCGCTCTTTACTACCTCAGCTTGGAGGTGACACGTATCATCTCCACTTATATTCCATTGCCCAAAACCAGTTATACGGCCAGACCAAAACCCAACGGAGATGGGAAATGAAATGTAGTAGTATTCCCAAGAAGAGGCAGAGAACTTAGATACTGGGGGTTTCTAGCAGTCTGTCATAGTTTTTATTTTTTCTTTAAGCAGATTGTTGGTTTTTATTGTTGTTGTTGTTTGCATATATGGGCTTCCTTCAACTACACTGTGAGTTCCTTGAGAGCAAGGATTGAATCTCAAACTTCTTTAACTCCATTACAGGGACTTACGTGGTAGCCAGCCTCCAAGATGGCTCCCAGTGTTTCCTGCCTCCTGTATTCATACTCGTGTGTAGTACTCTTCCATATTGTATAGACCTGGCCTGTATAAACAACAGGATAGTGAGGAAAGGATAGGGTGCAACTTCCGAGGTTAGGCCATACAAAGCATTGTGACTTCTACCTTGTGTTCTCCTGGATCACATGCTCAGGAGGAAGTCGGCTGCCGTGTTGTGACAACAGATATGTAGCCCTATGAAGAAATCCATCTGGCAAGGGATTGAGACCTCCTGCCAGCAACCAGCAGTAAGTTGCCAAGTCTGTGAATAAGCCAGCTTGAAGTGAATCCTCCTTTCATCCACAGTCAAGATTTTGATGCCTTGCACTTTAGAGTTGTCAAAGCATTTTTATTACAAGACTCACATCCATCCATTCATTTATCAAATATCTTTCATTTGTTCCTCTGAAGACATTGCTGCATAACTATTTTAAGACTTCATCCTGGCCGAGCACAGTGGCTCACGCGTGTAATCCCAGCACTTTGGGAGGCCAAGGCGGGTGGGTCACGAGGTCAGGAGTTCAAGACCAGCCTGACCAACATGGTGAAACCCTGTCTCTACTAAAAATACAAAAATTAGCTGGGCATGGTGACACATGCCTATAGTCCCAGCTGCTCAGGAGGCTGAGGCAGGAGAATCACTTGAACCCGGGAGGTGGAGGTTGCGGTGAGCCGAGATTGCGCCACAGCACTCCAGCCTGTGTGACAAAGTGAGACTCCGTCTCAACAACAACAACAACAACAACAACAAAAATACTTCACCCAAGTAAGAGGTAGTGAATTGGATTCTTACCACATGCCAGCTCCCAGTGGTTGGTAGGAATGGCCAATGTTGTTTCCAAGTCTCTGAGTTTGTTTTCGAGAATAAAGGATGGAAGCCTTATCCATCAGTAATGCTTGCCAAGGACATGGAAGCAGAGAGCAGTGGCTCGTGAGCTGTATATTTGCCATCTCTGGTCTAGGTATTCTGACTCTTGTTTTTCAAGTGTATATCCTCAGTTAGGAGCCATAGGCTAGAAAGTACCACTCGGCCTGGATAGGGGCCCCTGAGCTGCAGGTTTCACAAATGGCATAAGGAGAAAGCTGAAGCCAGATACTTTTTGGCCATAAGTCAATCAATTAATCTGCTTTTATTTATTTTCTACCATGTGGCTTATACTATGTAAGAATTCAAACTGGTTGCTGAAAAGCATCTTTCCTGGCTCTTGTAGAAGACTTCACTTCTCAACTCTAGCCTTACAGTCTTGTGATTTGATTTTTCTAGCATTACAGTCAAGGGCAAAAACATTTGTTAGGTAACTACTAAAATTTAGAAGAGGCATGAGATACATTCTACCTATCAGGGCTCATTTATATTCTGAGCAGAGTCTATGTTTGCTAAATGCATAAATTTTCAGGTACTTGCAAAATGCCAGGGTCATAAATCTTTTTAAAAAACAAAGCTTATTTATTTTCCCTAAAAATAAAGTGGCTTTTTGTTTCATGGAAAATAGAGACAAACTCAAAGAAAAAAGTAGAAAACCAAGTATCCACCCTTGATTTCACCTGTCAGAGCCAACCACTATTTTAAATGTTGTGCAAGGTAGAAAACACATATACTTGGGATAATATATATACAATCGTGTTTTGATTTCCTCAGTTATCAGCATAACAAAAAAGTATCTCCTGCATTATTACTAACTTTTTGCATATATAATTTAAGATTGTTGCTTATTTTATTATATCCATTTATCAAAATTTACTGATCCATTTCCCTAATGTGAAGTTATTTTCATGGAGGGAAGGAAGGTGCTAAATTACTATAAATCTTCAAATAATTAAAGACACTACTGTTAAAGAGGGAGATTATTCATCGACTCATGTAATCTTAAACCTGCAAGGCTCCCTTAGGGTCAGTGGATTGCAGTGCTTTTATCTTGTACAAGAGGAAAATGAGGCACAGTTTCCTAACTTGTCCAGGATTACCCAGCCAGTCAACAGCAGAACCAGGTTTATAGCCCCAAGCTTCTAGCAACTGTAGAAATATCAAAAGGAGAAAGCACTTTTCTTTAGCAGGTATTCAGCATGATGTCCAACCTTTGAAGCCATTGCTACCGTAGGTGTGGTTCAATTAGAAATCAACAAAGTTGGAGTTTCTCAGCCTGCCTGTTTAGATGAATGAGGGCTTGCCGGTAGGAAGAGTTTGAGACACATGTATAGCAGGAAAAAGCTTACCTGGGAGTCCTGTCTGTAAACATGGGATCTAGCTGTGCTTTTGCCTGACTGTGGTTTAAACAAATGTAGCATAAGCAGGTCTACATCCTTGGATCTCAACTTTCTCACTTTTCAGTGAGGGAACTGCATTAGTTGATATTTTAATGTTCTAACATTTTAGCATCTAAACCTACTCCTTTTTGTCAATTTCAAACTCAGTGAACATGGGTGGGAGTTAGCAAGAAGACTTAAGAGTTTACTAATGGGACGAAAGTCTTAAACCACTGCTCAGGTGTGTTGTTGAGTGAATTGAATGAGCATATATGGAATCCAAAGCTCTTTGCTTGAATAAAATATTTCTATCAGTACCACAGAGTGCCTCTTACCTCTCTATATTAGGGTGGCAGATCAACAATTTGAGGTTAATTCAACTTCGAGGTCACAACTAGCAAGTGAATTGTGAAGCAATCTGTGGGAATGACTGACTACAACAAAGCTTTGTTCAACTTTCTCCATTGTTCAACTCTGCCTGATGCTTTCAGCTTCAATGGGAATTGTCTTTGATGTTGCGGTTTCTCATACGTTTGACGTAAACATATTCTACTGGGCAGTACTTTGTAAAAACAGATACATGCATGTTTTGGCGACTTCTGAACTCTTTGGTACTGCAATAGCAGCATAGACAGCCCTCACCTTGCCAGTTTTCTTTGCTACTCCATGTGTCTCTGGGCTGGGACTCTTTTTTCACTGATTCTTTGAAATACTGTCTTGGACTGAAGTGACCACCTTCAAGAAGAAGAAGAAAGGGGTACTGACTGATGTTGATAATATTATCAATTAAAGCTATTTGGAGCTTTGATATAATTTCTTTGGATGATAAATTATAACCCCCTTGTCATTCTTATTGCTAGTTTGTTGTGTATTTCTGAGATTCCCTGTTATATCCCCATTAAAAAAACACACACAAAAAAAAAACAGCTGGCTTGGCAGGGATGGAGTCGAAGTGAGGTAACCCTGCAGCTGAAACTCTACATATTCACCCTTAATTTAAATCCTAGAAAGATGAAGGAGATAATATTGGAAGAATGATTGGGGATTTCTGTGATATGGGGTATTCTGTGACAGTACACCCCATATTCTGTGTGGTATCCTCTCCATTGTTAGGAGAAGATTTATTCATGCAATAAATGTTTACTGAGCCCCTGATATGTGTCAGATGATATTTTCAGCTCTAAGGGTTCAGCAGGGAAAATGCAAAGTGCACAGGAGTTCTTGAATAGCTTTACTCCTCAAATTTACTCCATTTTCCAGTTGCTCAGGCCAAAAACCAAGAGTCAGCTTTAACCCTCCCTGCTTTCTCCCTTGCTCTACTTCCAAACTCCATTGACTCTGCCTCCAGCTGTTTCCAGACTGACCATTTGATCATTTTGTTCCCCTATTGCTACCATCCTGGGTAAAACTACCATCATTGCAATAATGACATCACCTCCTACTGCTTCTCCCCTTGCTTACTGGCCCAATTTAGGGGTTGCATCCTGGCTCCTTCCTCTGCCTGAAATACTTTTCCACCAGGTATAGACTTGGCTGACTTCCTTCAAATTGTTTCTTCAAAATTTACTTTCTCAATAAGGTCTACCTGGACTACACTGTTTCATCCTTTGAGCAGAGTGTCTGCACAGTGTTTCCTATTCCTTTTAGCTTACTTTTAGCTCTACTTTTTCTTTATTGCATAAAACTTATCCTTTTCTAACATAATAGACCTTATTTATTATTTTTTAATTGTCTGCTTCCTGATACCCATGCAAGATCCACCAGGGCAGAGATCTTGCTCTGTCTTATTTACTGCTGTTCTCAAGTGCCTAGAACAGTGCCTGGGCAGTAGTGGGTGATTACATAAATATTTCCTAGATTTAGGGTTTTAATCTTTAATGTTTAATCAACTTAATCTTTAAATTGATTGCAAATGTATGTATGCAATGTATGTATGCGGTTTTCCAGAAGCAGTCTCATAGATTTTATCACATAGTTAACGGGAACTGTGACTAAAACCAGTTTTAAAACTACTATGTTATGTTTACCATAACGTGGTTGATTTGGGGATTTAATTAGAATAAAACACATGAAATTGTAACAATGTGACTTCTTGGATGGTTTCTTGACCCATGTACTGGTATGCTAAAAATCCTTCTTACGAAGACCTGTAAGTGGGGAAGCAAAAAACTATTGAGAATGTCTTTCTTAGCAAGAAGTCAAGAGAGCAAGTGATAATGAAGCTGGTAACTAAGTTGTTATGTTAATAATAATGCTAATACTCATAATTATTGTATGTGGAACTTTTCATTTGGAAGTCTCAAAGTGCTTTGTAAACTAGTCTAATTAGTGACATTTCATAACACCCTAGTAGGACGGATAAGTATTACTATACCCATTTTATATCTTTAGATAAAATAATTTCTAAAGGTCATATAGTAAGTTAAGATTAGAAACTAAAGCAATACTTGGAATCTCCCACCCCTCGAATTCCAGTATGTCTCCTGGTGCCTATAGGTGTATGAGTTCGTTTCTTCCAGCATTGGTTCATGAACTGTGGGAATCTGAGTCTGATGCATTGTTCAGGATGTCATGAGAAATACAATATTCTATGGTAGCCTCAGAGTAGTTGCTGAAACTAAATGATAGACTTATTGTGTTGGTTTTTGTTGTTGTTTGTTTGTTTTGTTTTGTTTTGTTTTTTTGAGACTGAGTCTCGCTCTGTTGCCCAGGCTGGAGTGCAGTGCCACAATCTCGGCTCACTGCAGCCTCTGCCTCCTGGGTGAAGAATCCTTCAAGTGATTCTCCTGCTTCAGCCTCCCAAGTAGCTGGGATTACAGGTGCATGCCACCACGCCCAGCTAATTTTTGTGTTTTTAGTAGAGATGGGGTTTCACCATGTTGGCCAGGCTGGTCTTGAACTCCTGACCTTGTGATCCGCCTGCCTTGGCCTCCCGGAGTGCTGGGATTACAGGCATGAGCCACCACACCCAGCTTATTGTCTTGTTTTTAACAGAGATTTTCACAACTGATAATATTCCCTTTGCCATTCAATTCACATATTTGTCTTTCCTTTTGTGGGTCTACATTATTTTGGCCCTGTTCAATTGATTACTTCTCCAGCCTTACATCAAGGATTTCTGTTCTAGTCCCAGCTGTCAAAACCACTGTGACCCCCAAGCAAGTCTCCAAGCCTCCTGAATCTCAGTTTCTTCACCCATAAAATGAGCATGCTTAAGTATCTCTATGTTTCTTTTAAGCAATAAAAGAACATAATTCAATATAGGAAAATCCTTTGAGAGTATTTCTTCAGGGCAGTCTGCATGTTGAAAGCATATAGGCAAACAGTTATTGGAGAGATGCCTTGCCAATGGGGAAGAGAGCCTCTAAATGTTCTGTTATTAAAAATGGTCTGAAATAGGTTTGGGGTCAGTTTCATTTTGCATCTGGGGCCCTCTTAATGATGATTACAAACTTTTATTTTCTTGGGCACAGGTTAAAAAAAGCAAGGTTGGTCCCTAATTCTCTCATTAGGGCTTTATGAAATGAGTCCCCCTTCTTGGGAAAGGCTCTTCCTCCTGTACTTTACTGATTTCTGTCTCTGCTTCTTTAGGAACCTCTTTGTCTCTCCTGGGGAGTGTCAATTCACATCTTAATCACTTTGTGTGTAATCTCATTAGAGATAATCCCATTTGCCAGAGTGTCAGTATCTTTCTTTGGTAAAGAAGATGGAATTCCTATCATTTGATTTGGAAACCCAATCCAGCTTGAGTTATAAATAGAGCAGTCATAGCTGAGTTTTTTTGACTTTTGATGCTGGCATTGAAATAGATGAGAGACGTGTTCTTTAAACTTGTCACACTAAATCCCTATCAATCTTGGCTTTAGACAGAAAGGACATAAACTTTTTTGCCATGTAAATGAAGCAAGCATTTTGTTCAATTACAAAAAATATATAAAATGATTTTCATAAATCAATCTGGTAATTATGTCCTCTTATGACTACCCTATTTTTATTTGTGGAGGTAAAAGTTCTTATAATAAACAAACAAGAGAACAAAAGACACACACACACTCATGCACACAAAAGACTTCCCTCCCCTTGTTTTACTTTGAACACTTGCCTTATAGTGATTCTCATCAATCAGTTCTGAGACAGTAAAATTCCAGTTCATTCAAGCAACCACATTTGGTGGTTGAGAGCTTGGTCAAGGAGGCCCAGGATAGATCCTCATGTGAAGCCTGATGATGTGAGCAGTGATCAGTTTTTGCAGGAAATGCCAATCCATATTGTTCCCTGTTAGTCATAATATACATTGCATTAAATGTGTGGGAAAAAAAACCTCCCATGGAAACCCCATCTCTCTCTGCCGTTCCCCTTTCCCACATGCAACAAATTCAAATCCTCATATTCTTGAAGTGGGGAGTGGGGGATGGAGAACAGCAGTCATTCTCATTTGATGGTTTGAAAAAAGAAAAGATGTTGGTACCACTCACTGACTGGCTAATGAATAATCAGATTTCACAGCATGAGTGCTGGGCTGGTAATTTGGTTGCACGCCATGCTCCAAACCCATGGAATAGTGCTTCATTAATGTGAAGACCTGTATAATCAAACAATTAGCAGTCTCTCTGCAACAAAAGCAGCTTTTCATCAGCATATATACTTTGTCAAAAGATGAGTCCCAAATCAGTGGATCTGATAGCAGCTAGACTTATACTAACTCATAGCAACTATGACATGGAGGGTGAAGTTTCTGCTTTTCACCCTTACCTTGAGCTTAGGATCTGATGGCAGCTTGTGCTTTGGCATCACTGAATGGTGGCAAACATCAGTAGGAAATATGAGATTAGGAGTATGCCTTCTAATTTTATTTATATAATCTGCTGTTTTATAGTTTCTATGTTTATCCTCATTTTATGCTCTTTAGAATTTAGAAGCTTGGAAAGATACTTTGAATTACTGTGGGGAAAGGGAAACTTTGATCCTTTTCTTAATTTGCTTATTTACATCAATGATTTGTGTCATCTTCATTCTAATATAGCTGATTAGCCTCTTTGGAGACTGTCTCAGTAACCATGGAGAAAGGGTGCTGTTTTATGGCAAGATCTCTCGTTTGCTTTGTTAACTAATTCACATCAAACGAATGCCCAACAGGGCTGCTTATAGGGCCAGGAGGCAGAGACCTTGGGTTCCTGATGCCCTATGGTTTCAAGTCTCTTTCCAACCCCTAAACAAGCCCTAAATATATTAGGTTGCTTTCAACATGTCGCTCAGTGGCAAGGAGGTGGTAAGTATTAACTCCGTACTTTTTTTTTTTAAGCAAAATGTAAATTATCAACAAACTTCAGTGGATTTGTGACTGTTTCATGATGAGTTTGGCTATTCTAAATCAGGGTAGCAATTTTTTTTTCTGTATTTAGGATACAGCATATATTTAGGCTTTGCAGGTCAGGAGGAGAATCAAAGATATTTGTATGTACTCATATAACAACTGTTTTGCTTGTGCTTCTTTCAAAAACACATCACAGGCTAAATTTGGCCAGTGAATCCTTGTCTGCCAATGCTTGGTCTGAATCACAGGCTTTAAAAAAAAATATCTTTCTTGCAGTGATTCATGGCTGTAATCCTAGCAATTTGAGAGGCTGAGACAGGAGGATCGCTCATGGTCAGGAGTTCAAGACCAACCTAGGCAACAAAGCAAGAACCCCATCTCTAAAAAAATTGAAAAATTTGCTGGGTATGGTGGCATGTGCTTGTAGTCCTAGTTACTCAGAAGGCTGAGTCAGGAGAATTGCTTAAGCCCAGAAATTCAAGTCTGCAGTGAGCCATGATTGTGCTACTGTACTCCAGACTGGGTGATAGAGAGAGACTGTCTCTCAAAAAATAAAAATAAAAACAATAAAAAAATCTTTCTCTGTGGTTGAACACAGTAGCCTCTGTATATCTGCTATGGTTTGGATATGGTTTGTCCCCACCAAATCTCTTGAAGGTGGGCCTGATGGAGGATGTTTGGGTCACCGGGCCAATTTCTCATGAACAGATGAATGCCCTCCCTCAGGGGTGAGTTCTTACTCTGTTAGTTGTTCCTAGAGCTGGTTGCTAAAAAAAAGCCCAGCACCTCTCCCTTCTCTCTTGCTTCCTCTCTCACCACATGGTTCTGGCTCCCCTCTGCCTTCTGATATGAGTAGAAACAGCCTGAGGCCCTCATCAGATGCCCAGTCTTGAACCTTGCAGCCAGCAGAATACTTCAGGTTACTGAGCAGAATACTTGAGTCAAGTAAACCTTCATTATAATTACCCAGCCTCAGGTATTCCTTTACGGCAACACACAATGAACTAAGACAGTATCTGAGTTTCTTTTTGTACATGGTTGTTGTTCCGTTAGAAATAATAAAAATTTTGCAAGTGTGTGTGTGAGCAGTAGAAATTGTTAGCAATAATCAATAAAAATATATGGGATGGCTCTAATTCATTGTGGAGAGAGGTAAAAAAATGAATAAACCCAAAATACTCCTTTACTCTCTTTTTGTTGACTGAGAGTGGTGGTGGAGCAAGATACTCAGTTTACCTGGGTTATTCGTGTGGATGAATTTCAGGTCAACTGATGGAGCATGACCCTGACAGGGCCACAGTTTGGGATGTGGTCTCAGGATAGGTGTAATGGTTTCACACAAAGGGAAAACACTGTTGCATGGCACAAACTGTATCTCTACTCAAGTCAGTTCTCAAAAAGCTGGCCAGATTGTCAAAGAAAGTATGGCTGAACTAAGGACAACTAGCACCAATCCCAGAAAGAGCATGCCCTACATGACTGAAATCTCAGATCAGACTCTAGATTTGCATATGAAGACAATTATTTGCAAACACAGTTTCTAGCGGGATGGAGCAAGGGTTCTAAGGACAAGTTATGTCCTGTTGTTCTCATGCCTTCGCTGACAGGTTACCTATGTGGTAAATCAGAGAAACACATCAGATGTCCTATTTCTGGACTCCAGCAAGGTGTTTGATAGCATCCTTTGTGAGATCTTTGTTGACAAGATAGGGTAATACGTATTGGAAGCTAACATGTTGAGGTGGGTTAATTAGTAGAATGCCAGGCTCCAAACAGCTGTAGATAGAGATTTCTAGTGACTGCCCATTGGATGTTGTTCTTCACGCCATTCTCTTCCACATTTTCATTAAGATGTGCATGAAGACATAGAAGGTATTGTTGTCAAGTCTGCAAGTAATGAGAAGCCTGGAGAGCTCACAAGTTCAATGGATAACAGTTAGAGAATCAACAAAATCTCTATGACTTACGATCACTGTCAGTGAACTACAACAAAATACAATTGAAACTGGGGTAAATGTACAATTTGTCATTTGAGTTTTTTGAAAACACCAAAATACTAATAACTAATTGTATAAGCCCTGAGTGGGAAAGTCCTTCCTTAGCAAAAGCAGAAATGAAAATTTGATTTCAGTTTTCAGTAGTTTCAATAGGTCCATGAGGTAATTAACATTACCTATGACTGCAATTATCTAAACAAGTTCACTTAGAGTGCCACATTTTATTGTATTTCTTTCACAGCATATTTAGATGGCATGGTAAAAAGGAAATAGATAAAAGTATGTTTAATAAAGAAATACTGCAAAGTGGGGGATGCAAAACCTTAATTACTATGTTGAATGAAGGACTGTAGAAGGAATGGTGCCTCTTCTCTCTAATTTCTGGGCTCCACCACAGACCTGCTGAATCAAAATTCCCGAGTGGTGCCAGGGGATCTGCAGTTGTGAAAACCTCTCCAGATCATTCTGACGAGAAGCCAGATTTGGGAGGCCAAATCCTCATGAATGGAAAAATCTATTAAACTAGATGAAATAACTAATTAACAACTGAGATCTGTAGTAACTTTCTCACATTTCTTCCATTTGTTTTGGAATCTTATCACTAGCCTGTGGCTTGTCTGTTCAGGAACAAATAAGTTAGCGTTTCTGATTCTTTCTCTGTAAGGGCCAGTTAATTTTATTTGCCGAGTCCCTGCTTTTTGCCAGGCATTGGGGTGATAAAGATGAAAAAGCAATTTTACATTTCATTACACTGACCCCATGTTCTTGTTCTAATAGTTTGCCAATGCTGGGTTCTCTCTTATCTCCCAGTCTTTGAATGTCAAATACCATCTCTCCAACTCTAGTCCTTCATGAATTCTTCTCCAATCTCAATACTGAGAGATAACCTACTCCTCTTTGAATGCCCACAATGCAATATTTGTGGCAGTTATCACTGTTTAGCAGTTTGGATATGTACACATTGATTTACTGCTAAAATACAGTTGTCATGAAGAGTAGGAACTCCACCTTATTTCTCTCCACTGCCTCTAGAATAGGGTCTGCTACCTAAGATATGCTCAATAAATATTTGGTGGAAAAATGAATGATTCATTGGCATTAAAGGCCAAAGCTTTTGGCTTATGATGATATATAGCAACCATGAAAAAAAGAAACACCTAAATCCTTCATAGTTTAAATAAATGTATGCCAGAGTTCTTACTCAGATCAGCATGCTTGCTGAGGTCACATCCTCATTGAAGTATCACTCTCCTCCTTTTCTCCTCCTGGTAAACACAGCTGGCTCCTTATGGTGCCAGTGGTCACTCTCTAGAAAGGCTGGACTTGGACGCCTCAGTAGGCTTCTGCTTCCTGCATACTTCACTTGGTAGAGAGCGCATGTGAGACAGTTCACATTCCATTGAATGGTTGAGGTCCTTCATTTTCCATCTTACCACAGGGGCTATTTGAATGTATCAGACTTTACTACAGTACAAAGGTATGGAGAGGGTTACGTTGGAGTAAGGCAAACAATGTAAAGTGGACACTGGGCATTCTGGATGCTTTATGCTCAAAGCTCCAGTCCCCTGCCATGTTATTACTTCCCTTTTTCTGTTCCCCCAGATTCCTGACCATCACTCATTCAAAACGGTTAGATGGCTTTTTTGTTTCTATCTCCTTATAGGTATGCTCTTTTCTTTCCCATGCAAAGTAGAGAAAGAAAAACAGTTTCTGCTCTTAAATGTATTTTTGCCACTCAATCTATAGAACATGTTCTTCCACAATTACAAGTAAATAGAAGACAGACTGGGACTCTGGAAAATCCTAAAGCATTATAGAACTTGGGGCTTGTCCTTTGACTTCATGGTTTTCAAACCCAGCATGGTGACCCAGTAGTGGGCTGTCCAATCAACTGAGCTCTTGAAATTGGAATAGAATAAAATAGAAATATGAGCATATTCCCATCTATAGAAAGGGTGTGGTGGCGGGCGCCTGTAGTCCCAACTACTTGGGGGGCTGAGGCAGGAGAATCGCTTGAACCCGGGAGGTAGAGGTTTCAGTGAGCCGAGATCGCGCCACTGCACTCCAACCTGGGTGACAGTGTGAGACTCCGTCTCCAAAAAAAAAAAAAAAAAGCATAAGTATTGTTTTGTGAGACTTGTTTCAGTTTTGTGTTTCTGTGTGTGTCTCTGGGCTTATAATATGAAATGTGCTTCTTACACTGTTAGAGGCACTTCTTTGATTTTGCTGAGTCTCCTTATCATCTGGCTAATGAGGAAAAGGCAAGTTGAACGAGAAATATCGGTACATTTTTGCGGTCTGCTTGAATCCCTTCTAGGTGGGCTTCTTACTGGGCTCAGACTAAGACCTAGATTTTTGACACAGTTATAGTGCTAGTCATTTCTAGCTTCTAGTTGGAAATGCAAATGATGTAGCTTAAAAAACAAACAAAAAAAAAATGGAGTAGGGGCACAGTGGCTCATGCCTGTAATCCCGGCACTTGAGGAGACTGAGGTGGGAGAAATGCTTGAGCGCAGGAGTTGGAGACAAGCCTGGGCAACACAGGGAGACCCTGTCTCTTAAGAAAAATTAGCCAGGCTTGGTGGCATATGCTTGTAGTACCAGCTACTCGGGAGGCTGAGGTAGGAAGATCACTTGAGCCCAGGAGGTTGAGGCTGCAGTGGGTGGTGATTGTGCCTCTGCACTCCAGCCTGGGTGAATCCTATCTCAAAAAAAAAAAAAAAAAAAAAAAAAAAAAAAAAAAAAAAGGAGTCACTTAATACTTCCTAAGGTTTTTGCAGAACTTAAAAAGAAAGAAAACCTGTTCTTTTGCTCCTATATAAGGACAATGGGGAAAGCAGAGCCCATTGCATTTAGGGCGGGGGGTGGGGTGACTGTTGGCATAGACACACATAGCCAGGATTCCTGGAAATGTATGAGTCTTCCTAAAATATAGGCTTGTTTATTTTTCTTAAGAACTGCCTTTATTAGTGGCAGCCAAGGAAGCAAACATATTGGTTGCTGACACGCCTATGAAATGTAAAAGCCAACTCTTCTCCCTTGTCTTTCTTTCTAGATGCAGCCTCCCTCCCAGACTCTCCCATCACCCTGCTCCTAACTCCAGCCTTGGATGCAGGAAAATTGTGAAACTAGAGGTTATGTTTTGCTTACCGGGTTGGCACTTTTAAGGCAATGAGAAGACAGTATTCCTAAATCAGTATCTTACCCATTAGGAGATTGTACCTCCTTTCTCAGAGAACCTAGTCCTTGACCAGGACAGACGTTATGCTTTATGCTGCCTGCCTGCGGGGTCCATGTTGCAGACAGGCCACTGCACAGCATTTTCTGGGTTTCCTTTACCCCTAGCCAGTCCTTCTCCTCCTACAATTTCTCCTGTTTCCCAGCAAGCCCAGCCGCTTCACAGCAAGGTTGCTTCCCTGAGGAAATCAGGAAGGGAAGGATGAGGACAGCTGCCCACAGCCCAGGCACATGGCAGGCCTGGCCAGGAATGAGAAAGAGAAAACGCAGCCCAAATCTATCATCACTCAACTTCTCTGTGTTCCAGAGAGGTGCCACCATGCTGAAAAATCAGTGGGGATATTAATATTGGGACCCTTCTCCTTTCAGCAGCTGGTGTTTCAGTAGAAGGGATATTTTCAGGTTAATAAGCAATGATTGGCCCCTTAAAAACCAATTTCTAACAGCAAGTGGAGTAGAGATGGAATGGCAGGGCTCTCTATTTGTTTTCGGGGTGTCACAGCAAAATATTAAATCCTTTGAATTAGCACGAGCTCTGTAATCCTCTTAGAGCGTGTTTCTGTAGGGAAGAGACCTTGGACAGCTACAGTGCATCAAGATGCCTTTGTGAGCATTTTCAACAGGCACACCGGCCACCCGTTCCTAACGTGAAGTCTGACCTAGCGTCAACACGGAGCAAGGGAAACAGACATGCAAGCACATTGATCACCAAGTAAAGAGGATGAGACGACATGAACTCTCCCTTTGAGATTCACACATCAAATCAGGCTTGATGTGTTTCTAGAAGCAGCTGTTAGGACAATAATATTTAAGATTATTTTTTAAAGTTCTTTTAAATATAGTTCTTCTAAAAATCACTGAGAGAAAATTTGAAGATTAGGAAATATAAACATTTATTTAATATTTCTCTGCCAAGCTTAAAACATATCAAATCTCTCTAAACTGCAAGATTTTATGTTGACATATCCATGAATATAATGCTACAATATATGAATATGAGAAAACAATGCGTTCCGATAGCTCAGCACATCACTGGGGAAAATGCGTTATTATTTACTTGTGGTTGATAAATATTAAAACCGAGAATAAAGTTAAAATAGTCTTCTATCATAAAACCCACCATTTTCTCTTCTCTCCTCAAAAACTGGTTAGACTCATTCTTTTATATATATGTCTTGTATTTTATAACTAACAAAAATTTTCTTTTGGCTTTTCTTTCTTTTGCAAATAACTTAGATTTAACAAATCATTGCCATGAGCTAAGTCACATTTGAATCTAGAAAATGCACTGGTATTATCCTTCTCTGTTCACATATATTTGAAGTAAATTACATCAAATTGTATTTGAAATACCAAACTGGCATTAATGGAAGCTTTTTTTGCTCCAGGCACCATTTTAAAATAGATGAGCATAAAATGCAGTCTGCATCATTAAGTTTATATGAAACTAGTGAGAATAAAAATCACCATGTAAGTTCTAATAAGATGTGTTTTTCATTCCAGTTTAATAACCCAAGACTATATTCATCTTCCAGTATAATAAATATACGAAGAGGAATGAGTTCTTTTGTGGGCTTAACATGTTGAGGTTCCCTTTTTCCCCCCAAGAAGATGGAGTTTTCTGGGAAGCTGGGTGAAGAAAATTCTTTAATATGGCAGTACAGAGTATTATTATCATAAATAATTAATGTGCACAGCAGAAGAAAGCCGGGCTTCATTAATAATTCTTATTTTTAGTTGGCATAAGCTAGAGGTGTTGTATCTTCTTTCATCCTATCTATGTCAATTTCCTTGATTTTAATGTAATAGATGTTAAAAATTTTAAAGGTACAGTACATTATGCAGTGGGTTTTTGTTTTTTTGACTAAATAACATCCTAGTACTAATTCTTACCTGCCAAGATATTTTTAGAAACAGGCAAAAGGAATGAGGTGGGGGTGGGGGGAAAGTCATGATAAGGCAAGGTAGAGTGGGCCTTTCATCTTTCATTTCCCTCTGGGACTAGTTAAGATGCTCCTTTGATTAGAACCTCAGGAAATATTAAGAAGCTCTGCCATGAATTTGAGCTCATCAAACTCGCCTGTTTATTTTTCAAATTCAAGGCTGATCCACCTTCTATATCCTGAAAACACGGGTTCTCCCTGACACAGTCTTGCATTTGTGATCAACTAAATCACTTGTCAAAACCTCCAAATCTTTGATAACAGGAATTTGTAATTTATTAATTCAGCCTCTGAGCAGGAAAGCAGCTAAATGTTTCTGATTAGCACAAGGGAGGAAATAAAGAGCCTGCTACAGAGGGCAGCAGGGTTGCACTTTACAAGGAACAGTGAGAAGCATGCATGCCATTCCAACTTAAGGGGATTGATGCACAACCTGGACAACTGTGAGAGAGCCGATCAATGTTATTTCATGGGAGAGTAAAGCTAGGAAGAGGGGGCAATCAAGCAAACCTTGGGGAAAAATAAGTCTGATATGAAATAACTCAAATCATGGGTCTATGCAGTTTTGTAGCCCTTTCTGCTGAGCACCAGGGCTGAGATTCTTATTTGTGGCCACTGAGCTCTACCTTGACCTCACAGGTATCAAATAGCTTTCTAGACAGTTCAGCTAAGGTGAGGATAGAAATACAAGCAGCACCTACAATGTGATCTGCGATGCTCCTTCATCCATCTCCTGTGTTCAGGATAATTCAAGTGCTCAGTTTAATCCCATTTGCCTGGGTATGTATTATTGGTCCTAGAAGTCACAGCCATTGCCAGATGAGCATAGCAATCCACATGCTTCCTTAGGTTCCCATAGCCCTACCTGGCACTCAACCTCCTCCTTAGAGCCCCACCATGAGCTATGAAAAGAACCTGGGTCTGAGCAAGATCCTCTACTTGCTTCTGCAGTGGATTTTGCATTTCCTAATTAACTGTGAGGCTTGAGACAGAGGATTCTTGGTTGGTAACCTTCTCTCGGTTCATGAACTGAGAGGACTGAGTAACTAGCAAATGCTTTGCTTTTTACTGAGCACGTATTAAGTGTCAGGTGACACGGTACTTGCTGAACACATGGCATTTATCTAGTCTTCATACTAAATCTTCAATGGGCAAGTTAATATTACTACAGATTAAATTGTTTTATGTGTAAAATGGGCAAAAATTTAGTTTGTTGAGAGGCTAAATAACTTTCTTTTTCCTTTGTCACCTTTTATTTTAGATTCAGGAGGTACCTGTGCACAAGTTTGTTACCTGGGCATATTGCATGATGCTGAGGTTTGGGGTACAAATGATCCTGTCACCTAGGTACTGAGAATAATGCCCAGCAGTTAGTTTTTCAATCCTTGCCCAAACTTCCCTCCCCCTCTGGTAGTCTCCAGTGTCTATTGTTGCCATGTTTATGTCCATGAGTTCCCAATGTTCAGCTCCCTCTTGTAAGTGAGAACACGCAGTATTTCATTTTCTATTCCCATGTTAATTTGCTTAGGATAATGGCCTCCAGTGGTATCAATGTTGCTGCAAAGGTCATGATTTTATTTTTTAAATGGCTATATAGTATTCCGTGGTGTATATGTATCACATTTTCTTTAACCAATCCACCACTGATGGACACCTAGGTTGATTTCATGTTTTTACTATTGTGAATAATGCTGCAATGAACATGTGAGTTCACGTGTCTTATTGATAGAACAATTTATTTTTCTTCAGGTATATACACAGTAATGGGATTGCTGGGCCAAATGGTAGTTTTAAGTTCTTTGAGAAGTCTCCAAACTGCTTTTCACAGTGGCTGAATTAATTTACATTTCCACCAACAGTGTGTAAGCATTCCCTCTTCTCTGTAGCCTTGACAACATCTGTTGTTTTCTAACTTTTTAATAGCCATTTTGACTGGTGTGAGATGGTAGCTCATTGTGGTTTTGATTTACATTTCTCTGATGATTAGTGATGAGTATTTTTTCAGGTCTTTGTTGGCTGCCTCTAGGTGTTCTTTTGAAAAGTGTCTGTTCATGTCTTTTGCCCATTTTTAAGTAAGGTTATTTGTAATTTGCTTGGCCTATCGTTTAAGTTTCTTATAGATTCTGTTTGAAGACATAGTTTGAAGAATTCCTTATAGATTCTATAGACCTTTGTCAGATGCATAGTTTGTGAATTTTTTCTCCCATTCTGCAGATTGTCTGTTTACTCTGTTGACAGTTTCTTTTGCTGTACAGGAGCTCTTTAGTTTAATTAGGGCCCACTTAACAATTTTTGCTTTTGTTGTGATTGCTTTTGAGGACTTACTTATAAATGCTTTCTCAAGTCCCATGTTCAGAGTGATGTTTTTGAGGTTTTCTTCCAGAATTCTTATAGTTCAAGGTCTTATATTTATATCTTTAATCTGTCTTGAGTTAATTTTTGTATGTGGTGAAAGGTAGGGGTCCAGTTTCATTCTTCTACACATGGCTATCCAGCTATCCCAGCACCATTTTTTGAACAGGGATCCCTTTCCCTATTGCTAATTTTTGTTGACTTTGTTGAAGATTAGACGGCTGTAGGTGTGCAGCTTTATTTCTGAGTTCTCTCTTCTGTTCCATTGGTCTATGTAAGTGTTTTTGTACCAGTACGATGCTGTTTTGGTTACTGGAGCCTTGTGGTATAAAGACATGTAATGTGATCCTTCTGGCTTTTTTTTTTTCCCCTTAGGATTGCTTTGACTATTTGGGTTCCTTTTTGGTTCCATATGAATTTTAGATTAGTCTTTTGTAAAAAATAATTGTTGTTAGTTTGATAGAAATAGCACTAAATCTGTAGATTGCTTTGGGCATTATGGCTATTTTAATGATATTGATTCTTCAAATCCGTAATATTTAATATTTTTCCATTTGTTTATGTCATCTATGATTTCTTTTAGCACTGTTTTGTAGTTCTCCTTGTAGAGATCTTTCACCTCTTTGGTTAGATATATTCCTAGGAATTTTTTTTTTGGTAGCCATTGTAAATGGAATTGCATTCTTGATTTCTCTCGCAACCTGAACATTATTGATGTATAGAAACAGTACTGATTTTTGCACAAAAGATGTTGGATTTCATTGAAAGCTTTCTCCATGTTTATTGAAATGATCATATGGTTTTTGTTTTTAATTCTGTTCATGTGGTGAATCACATTTATTGATTTGCATATGTCAAAACCAATCTTGCACCCCAGGAATGAAGCCTACTTGATCATGGCAAATTAACTTTTTGATTTGCTGTTGAATTTAGTTTGCTAGCATTTTGTTGAGGATTTTTGCGTGTGTTCATTAGAGATATTGGTCTGTAGTTTTCTTTCCTCATTGTGTCTTTGACAGGTTTTGGTATCAGGCGGATGCTAGCTTTGTAGAATGAGTTAGGGAGGAGTTTCTATTTGAAATAGTTTTAGTAGAATTGGTACCAGCTCTTTTTTGTAAGTCTAGTAGAATTTGGCTGTGAATCCATCTGGTCCAGGAATTGTTTTTGTTGGTAGGCTTTTTATGACCGATTGCATTTCAGAACTTGATATTAACCTGTTTGTGGTTTCAATTTCTTCCTAGTTCAATCCTGGGAGATTGTGTGTTTCCAGGAATTTATTCATTTCCCTTAGATTTTTCTAGTTGGTGTGCATAAAAGTGTTCATAATAGTCTCTGAGGATCTTTTGCATTTCTGTGGAATCCGTTGTAATGTTACCTTTGTCGTTTCTGATTCTGCTTATTTGGATCATCTCTCTTTTTTTTCTTTGTTAGTCTAGCTATCAGTCTATCAGTCTTGTTTTTCCTTTCAAGTAACAAACTTTGGGTTTTGTTGATTCTTTGTATGGATTTTGGGGCCTCAATTTTGTTCAGTTCCACTCTGATTTTAGTTGTTTCTTTTCTTTTGCTAGCTTTAGGGTTAGTTTGTTCTTGTTTTTCTAGTTCTTCTAAGTGTGATGTTAGAGGAACATCATTAATTTGAGATCATTCTAAGTTTTTGAGTTAGGCATTTAGTACTATTAATTTTCCTTTTAATACTGCTTTTGTTATATCCCAGAGATTTTGATATATTTTGTGTCTTTTCACTTATATCAAATACTTTTTTATTTCTGCCTTGATTTCATTGTTTACCCAAAAGTTATTCAGGAGAAAGTTGTTTAATTTCTATGTAATTGTGTAGTTTGGAGAGATCTTCTTCATATTGATTTCTATTTTTATTTCATTGTAGCCTGAGAGTATGGTTAGTTTAATTTTGATTTTTCTGAATTTATTGAGACCTGCTTCATGGCCAAGTATGTGGTCAATCTTAGAGTATGTCCCATGTGCAGATGAGAAGAATGTATATTCTGTGGTTAATGGGTGAAGTATCCTGTAGATGTCTGTTAGGTCCAATTGATCAGGTGTCAAGTTTAAGTTCAGAATTTCCTTGTTAGTTTACTGCCTTGATGATCTGTCTAATGCTGTCAGTGGGATGTTGAAGTCCCCTACTATTATTTTGTGACTATGTCTTTTTGTAGGTCTAGAAGTACTTGTTTTATGAATCTGGATGCTACAATGTTGGGTGAATATGTATTTAGGATTAAGTCTTCTTGTTGAATTGAACCCTTTATCGTTATGTAATGTTCTTCTTTGTTCTTTTCTACCATTACTGGTTTAAAGTTTGTTTTATCTGATATAAGAATAGGGACCCCTGCTCTTTTTTGTTTTTTTCTGTTTGTGTTGTAGATATTTCTTCAACCCTTTACTTTGAGCCTATGGGTGTTGTTATGTGTAAGATGGGTCTCTTGAAGACAGCAGGTGGATGAGTCTCGTTTTTTCATCCAGCGTGCCACTCTGTGCATTTTAAGTGGGGAATTTAGACTATTTACATTCAAGGTTAATATTGAAATGTGAGGTTTTGATACTATCATGAAGTTGTCAGCTAGTTGCTTTGTAGTTTCTACTGTGTTTTTGCTTTACAGGGTCTATGGGCTCTGTCCTTAAGTGTGTTTTTTTGGTAGCAGGTATTTTTTGTTTGTTTGTTTTTTCCATGTTTAGAGTTCCCTTAAGGATCTCTTCTAAAGCCGATCTAGTGGTAATGAATTTGCTTAGTGCTTACTTGTCTAGAGAAGATTTTAGCTCTCCACTTATGAAGCTTAGTTTGATGGGATATAAAATTCTTGGTTGGAATTTATTTTCTTTAAGAATACAAGAACATTTTCTGAAAATAAGCTTGTAAAGTTTTTGTTGAGACATCTGCTTTTTGTCTGATGGGGTTCTCTTTGTACATGATCTGCCCTTTAATTCTAGCTGCCCTTAAGATTTTTTCTTTAGCATTGACCTTGGACAGTCTGGTGACTATATGTCTTGGTGCTGTTCATTTTGTATAGTATCTCACAGATGTTCTCTGGATTTCTTGTATCTGGGTGTCTTCTTCTCTAGCAAGATTAGGGACGTTTTCTTGAATTATTTTCTCAAATACATTTTCCAGGTTGTTTGCTTTTCCTCCTTCTCTCTCAGCAATACCAACAATTCATAGGTTTGGTCACTTTACATAATTTCATAGTTCTCAATGACTTTCCTCATTAAAAAAAATTCTTTTTCTTTATTCTTGTCAGCCTGGGTTAATTCAGAAGACCAGCTTGCAAGCTCTGAAATTCTTTATTTTGCTCAGTCCAGTCTATTGACAAATCTTTCAATTGCATTTCGAACTCCTTAAGTGAGTTTTTCAGTTCCAGAAGCTCTGATTGATTTCCTCTAAATCAATCCATGAAATGAAGGAAGAGATGAAGGAAGAGATAAATATCTTCCTTCATTTCATGGATTGATTTAGAGGTTTGTTTGTGTTTATTTTCAACTTTGTCGTGGTCTTATTGAGTTTCCTTGCAATTCATGCTTTGAATTATTAGTCTGTCATTTCTGAGTTTCCATTTTGGTTAGGGACCATTGCTGGAGAGCTAGTGCAATTCTTTGGTGGTGTCACTACATTCAGATTTTTCATGGTGCAGAATCTTTGTGCTGGTTCCTTCTCATCTGGAGACATTGACACTTCTAACTTTTGTAATTGTTTTCACGCAGGTAGGATTTTTTTTTTTTTTCGTTCTTTCCTTTTATCAGTCAGTTACCATCATGGGAGCTGCTTGCTGGCATTCTCCTCTCTGGGATCTGGGGTGTCTTTCACAATTCTGGTGGATTCCCATTTTCCTTCTTGAATTAAAGCTTACAGAATTGATCTTTGTGTACTATCTTGCTATTTCCAAGTGGCTGAGGCACACTGTAAAGCTCTAATCTACCATCATGAAAAAAAGGCCTAAATAACTTTCTGTAATAGGTCACATGGCCAGAAATATTTGTCAAGCTCAAAGTAGAAGCCACATGTATTTGGAGATATATATGTATGTATGTATGTGTGTGTGTGTGTATATATATATATATGCACATACACACACATATACACACATGCCTATGTCTGTATATGTTCTATATATCTTATATATATATGTCTATCTACTTATAATATATGAAAATGAATTGCATTTTACATCACTGACTCTCTATTAATTCACTATTAGCCAAATGTTAGGTATCTTGTAGTCCCTTTCTCTCATGCACCATTCATTTGGACTGCCTTTCTCTGCCATGATTTGGTGTGCTCTCAGTGAATGCAAGATTAATCTTAATGTCCATCAGAGATAAACACTTAGAGAAAAGTTAATCTGATGCCAAAAATATACGTAACACCATGAATTCCAAGTGTGCCCTCAGCACCTTCTGCCAACCCCAGCATCCCGGCCCCTGCATCAGTGGGCAATCCTCCTGCAAGAATGGGGCCATCTTCAGTCTAGGCTAGAGGTCTGTGGAGCATTGGCTGCCCAGCAGCAAGAAGTTGCACCTGGACAGAGAGCAGACAACCTGTTTTATGATCAGCCTCTTCTTCTTTTTCTCTCTTTCTTTCTTTTTTTTTTTCTTTTTTTTTTTTTTTTTGAAAGAGAATCTTTGCTCTGTCTCCCAGGCTGGAGTGCAGTGGTACAATCTGGGTTCACTGCAACCTCTGCCTTCCAGGTTCAAGCAATTCTTCTGCCTCAGCCTCCTGAGGAGCTGAGACTAGAGGCATGCACTAACACACCCAGCTAATTTGTGTATTTTTAGTACAGATGGGGTTTGCCATGTTGACCAGGCTGGTCTTGAACTGCTGACCTCAAGCGATCCACCTGCCTCAGCCTCCCCAAGTGCTGGGATTATAGGCATGAGCCACCTTGCCTAGCCCAGGATCAGCCTCTTCTATCAGGTGACATGCTTGCTATTCTAAACTTAACTGACTCTGACCCTGCAGATTCTGAACTTTACCAGTGGTCTTCTTGTTTTTGCAGATGTTCCAGCAAACACAGGTCCTAGACTGGAAATACTCTGCATGCTTTACCCCAAACTGTTCATCTTGTCTATATCACGACACCCTCTTCCCACTTCTTCCAGATAGGCCTGATGATTGGAATTTGACTTCTGGCTGAGCTGGGTTCATGAGCTAGGCTACACATTCCTTGGGATCAGGGGATAGTGCCTGTCTTACTCAGTGCTTGAAATATAGTTGGCCTTCAACAGTATATTTATATGAATGAATAAATGATTGAGTAAAGATTGCACTGTGGAAGATGCCCGGTCTATCCCAGCTAGCTCATCAGTGGATCTCCAGCTCCCGTCCCTATCTCATCAACCTGATGCTATTACGACTTTGACCCCTGAGTGATGTTGATTAGAAACAGATTGGGGTCTCCACTCTATGGGCTTGGCTTAGCCACTGTGGTCCTCCTCATGGAAAATGTCATCCTCTTACACAATGCTTGTGGTCAGAGAACCTGTTTTACATACTCCTCTTTGCAGGTGCCCCTGGGCTAGGCACATTCTGGGCTTAGTGTCTCTATTTAGACTTCCCCATCTCTCCTGTTCAGTAACACAGCAAGATAACATGACCCTGCCTTGGTAATGTTTTAGAATTTCCATGGCAAAGATTCTAATAAGACAAACACACCTGTGTTTTAATTGTATATTTGCTTCAGAGCAGCAAGGAAGACAAGTTTTTGTTTACTGGTCCCAGGGTCAATAATTGGCAAAGGAGAAAAGTAATATAAGAGGTGAAAGTTGCCGGCCGTGTAGTCTCAGTATATGCACTGAAAAACAAAACATGGCGGCCAAGTTCCACCCTGCCCTTGCTTTATCTGGCCCAGACATGATCTTTGCATTGCAGAGTATTTAATTACTCCTAGTAAACCTGCGGTTGGAAGTCAAGGGGTTGATTTGGGAATGGGTGTTTGCACCACATGTGAAAATCCTGACCTCAGACACATGGGAGTTATGAAAAAAGATGTATTCTGAATACCAAAGTCAAACCAGGGGGGAACAAAAACAATGCTAGGGAATGCTATTATAAATGGAAAAATCTTGTTTAACTCAGTAGAACTTTTCTCTGACTTCTTTGGTCAATGGCATATACTGCTCAATAAAACATTTATTTAATAGAGAGATTTTGTCTAGTAATTGAGAAGATGGACTGAAGATCTAAATTGCCAGAGTTCAAATCTGGACTACGCCTTTCACCAGCTGTGTGATCTTGGCAATTTATTTAACTTCCCTGTGCCTCTATTGCCTCATCTGTAAAATGGGAATATTCTTAGGAATGCCATGAAGATTAAATCTATCTATCTGTCTATACATTAAAATGCATCTATCTCTCTATCTCTCTGTCTCTCTATCTATCTATCTATCTATCTATCTATCTATCTATCTATCTACATTAAAACACTTAAAATAGTGCTTGGCACTTAGCAAATACTCAATAACTATTAGGTATTATTTTTATTATTTCAATTATACTTTTTAAGGAATTAAAATATAATACAATTTCTATTTAACATTATTTAATCTTTCTTGGGTAACAAAAGCAGAGGCATCAATAGTTTGGTAATTCTGTTAGTCAGGGAGTTGACATCAGTGTAAGCTGGACCTCACTGCATAATGTGAATTAGGAATGAACATCCCAGCTTTGCCCAGGGGCCATCCAGCTTGCGTGAGATAAATCTGGACCTGAATGTCAATTTACTAATTTATAGTGGCCATCATTTGCTACCAAATTGAATGCTATATTTGCATGGTTCCATCAACTTAATCTCTTTTATCAAAAAGTCGAATTAAGATTCCATGGCTGATTTGTGCACATGGGGTGTTGAGTGTCCTGTTGGTCATTACCATAGAGCAGTGGTGGCTTATTGAAATGCCACAGCTCTTCTGGCATCCCAGTGATTTTTATCTTTGCACTAGCATGACAGTAATAAGAATTTCTTACTCTGCACTCTGTCTTTCCTAGATTCCGTTTAGATCCATGCCTCTAGGGTACATTTGCCATGGCAATACCACTTCAAATGTCAACCTAGAAGACTGTTCTCCCATACAGGTTACCATTTCAAATGTACACTGACTAAAGTTCCACTTCAATAACATTTAAGGGAGTCCCTTAATCCCCAGTATTAGAATGCCCCCAGAATCACACTTTGCAGTCCTACAATAAGGAGAGTTTTCTTCTCTTCAAAAGTGTCACTTTCTGACATTTCCTGAATCTGGGCGTCTGCTTTGGTTGCCATCTGACCTTTTGGCTGGTAGCCTATTCTCCTCTGTCCATCATCATTATAAGCGTCAACTATTATTTTGCTGATAAACTCAGAAGTGCCATTTACTAGATTATTTTGGTCAATAAAATGCCAGATAGACTAGATTTACTATATCTTTTAAAGTAGTCAATAAAATAAAATCCTCTAAGCGAGATCAGAAAATGGCTTACCGAAGAAACAGACCTATGAAAGTAGACGAGGGACATGTCATTCTTACAATAACTTGGGGCCTGTTTATCATTCCACTTTCTCTATTCCAGCAAACAAAGAAATATCATAAGTACCATCCCCCACTTTTTAAAAAAGTTCCTTATTCCAGAAACTTTGTTCCAGAAAAGATGTAGTAAAAATGGGGTGTTAACAATATCTGTGTCCTAAAGTGTTTCGTTTTTGATTAAAACGTATCACACTTGAGAAATGATTGAACAACTGGTTGGAAGTCACAAAAATATTAACTGTAATGAGCTCATTTAAACAGAAACAGACGTGCTACCCCGCTGGTTGTCAAAAGTTTTCAAAGACGGTTTCTCTCGAGCAAGCAGGGTCCTGCAGACTGCGTCCATCTGTCTTCATGAAAGAGCATTTTCATACTCTGGAAGGAAATGCTCCTGTAAAAACACCATTTGGAATTATTGATCTCTTGATCACTTGTAGATCTCAGTGGGAAATCAGAACAGCAATGGGCTCAGACAGGAATCACCAGTGCCAAGAACATTTTTTTTTAATTTGGATTAATAGGTGGCTGGAATGAAATAAAGTCATATTTATTAAGAGGAAACAATTTTCTCTTCTCTCATTGAATCCCATAATGGGATTTTTCTTGTTTTCCCAAAGGCCTCCTTGTTCTTCCCTTATCATAGCGAAAGATATGTCCCTTTGTTCCCAGTTCCTAAATTCCTGGGCTGTTTCTGAGGATTCACACGCTGCAGCTAAACATTTAGTGGGGCTTTACAACAAAAATTCGATGTTCTTGCTTAAGTGTTTGTCTGGTGAATTAGAGACTAGAGACAGCATAATGACTCCAAGAGCAATTGTAGGATGCTTGAACAAAACAAAACACGTTATGTTGCTACTGTTTCCTTAAACCTAGACCACAGAATTCCAGGGAAAGAAAGGATTTGGGTATCAAATTTATCCCTCCCTCATTTTCCATAGAAGAGATTAAGGCACAGAAAGTGAAGTGAGACCTTGTACTTTACGTTCACTTTTTCTTGAGGAAAAATCTCTCTTTATTTGGTGATACAGAAGGCTGACTTTGCAAAATAAATAAAATATAAAGAGATCAGTTTTAAGACTGTTGAAAAACAACCCTGTTGGGTTATCCTTAGGGATCCTCTCTTTGATAATATATAAGTCTCTAGTAACTAGAGGTGCTCAGAAATATTTGTTGAATGACTAAACTAATGAAAGACTGAGTTTCGTATTGCTATTACAGATAAGTTCGTGGACAATGGTGATGTACGAAAATGTGTGAAATCGTGTTACATTTCAAAAGGAAAAGGCAAAATAGTATGTGTCCAACAATTCTAAATGTGTACGAATGTGCTTAAGAATGTTACCAAAGCACAGAATAGAATTTGAAATGACGGATAATTTAAGGTTTTCTAAAATGTTATTTAAATTTATGTGAGAATGAATTTGGCTTCAGGATTAAGTTGTTTGCTAGCTTAATTGCAATGACCATTGCTTTCCTTCACATTTTCTCTTTTCATTTTGCTTCAGAGGCACATATTGAGGGCAAACAAACTCACTGGGACAAACTTTGTGACGTTGTTTTTGAGGAGCATGAAAGACATTTTTGTGCAGAACCCGGGTACATATGTTCATCTGGTATCTGTCCCCACCAGCAAAGTAATTCATGGCCTGACTTGTTAGCTGCCTTTCTACCCTTTGACACTCCGGGGAATGGTTCCTACTACGAGGCTTGTCAGATATGCTTTCCCCTGAGTCAGCTCAGAGCTTGAAGGAAGTAGTGTGGGAATAAGAGTATCTGCTGGAATCACAACTGATCCCTGTGTCAGCCCAGATCAGGTCCTGGGTTCTGCTAGACCAAGGAGGGCCTTCTGTGAGCTTTCTTCTTATCCAGGGCTCCGTTTACCTCACCTGTTCAAAGACTCATTTATAGTCAGTTCTTTCCATTCAGATGCTAAGCCAACGCGAAAACTAAAACGACCTTTACCTAAAATGAGCCACAGTCAAGGAAGCTTTTTAAACAAAGCGAGGCACTGTTAAGAAATTAATAATTGTGGAGAAGAAGGAAGGGCTCAGTTTCTAAATACTTTCCATGTTAGATATGGTGGGTGCCCTGGTTCCGTCTGCTTGGCATAGGGCTGTCTATGTCATAAAGATGAAATGGGGTTTGGTGGGATGAGGACCCAACAATGCTTGAGAGACTGGCTGGGGGAACAGCCTCCAAGGCAGATCCATTCAACCGCCTCAGTCATTTCCTATTTTTAATATTAAAGGAATATGGAGAGAAACGGGACAGAACATAGCGTTCTGGGAAACCAGTAATCAAACGGCCTAAAGCTAATGTTTA